>NC_000014.9:105974717-106277717 GCF_000001405.40 Homo sapiens | reverse complement strand
CCTGCAGGGCAGGAGCTGAGCGGCAGGGGGCGCTCAGGGAGCACCCAGCACAGGACCCAGCCCTGGGGCAGGTGCACAGGAGGCTGGGGCAGGGTTTTCTCTCAGGAATTGAATGTTCCTTATTTCAAAGCAATAATGACCTAACATTTAAATAAGAATTTAGCAAGTACTGATGTGCCTGTAAGTATTTTATTGTATACGCAGCCTATACCTAACCCAATAATTTAATGCAAACCGGATTTAAAAGGAGAAATGTCTAGGTCTTTCAAATGTATTTCTAGTTAGGAATTGAGGGGTGGTTTTATTAATTCAATGGGTGTTACTGTCCGGAGACACACTCATCCCAGAAGTTAGATGTGCAGAGGGCAAGGCTCAGGAAAAGTTCAGGTAGACAGTGAGCCATATGAACAGGGAATCACATTGAGGACCATGTCCTGTGAGATTCTGGGTTTCTGTGAGAGGAGTTCTGTCTTCATGGACTTCTGGGCATGTCAGAGGACAAATATTAAACAAAGTTCAGGGCAGGGAGCTCAGCATCCCACTGTGGCGTGGTCCACATGTCACCTATCTTCTTCCTCAGGGTGGCGTGGCCTGAGCTATGAAAAACCTGCCTCATGAATATGCAAATGCACTGCTGTCTACCGAGGTAAATACAGATCTTTCCTTGCCCAGAGACCATCACACAACAGCCACATCCCTCCCCTACAGAAGCCCCCAGAGCGCAGCACCTCACCATGGACTGCACCTGGAGGATCCTCTTCTTGGTGGCAGCAGCTACAGGCAAGAGAATCCTTAGTTCCAGGGCTGATGAGGGGACTGGGTCCAGTTAAGTGGTGTCTCATCCACTCCTCTGTCCTCTCCACAGGCACCCACGCCCAGGTCCAGCTGGTACAGTCTGGGGCTGAGGTGAAGAAGCCTGGGGCCTCAGTGAAGGTCTCCTGCAAGGTTTCCGGATACACCCTCACTGAATTATCCATGCACTGGGTGCGACAGGCTCCTGGAAAAGGGCTTGAGTGGATGGGAGGTTTTGATCCTGAAGATGGTGAAACAATCTACGCACAGAAGTTCCAGGGCAGAGTCACCATGACCGAGGACACATCTACAGACACAGCCTACATGGAGCTGAGCAGCCTGAGATCTGAGGACACGGCCGTGTATTACTGTGCAACAGACACAGTGTGAAAACCCACATCCTGAGAGCGTCAGAAACCCTGAGGAATGAGGCAGCTGTGCTGAGGCTGAGGAGATGACAGGATTTATGAAGTTTAAATCTGTTTAGAAAATGGGTTGAGTAATTGAGTAAAACAGCAATGGAAAGATGTGTACACTGTCATTATGTAGGAAATAGTATTTTCAACTGTCACCCTATAAGTAACACTCACAGAGTGGGAAAGGCAGCCATCAATCAAGCTGATGCAAACATTCCCATGGGGGCTTTGTGGGGACATACATTTTATAATTGGATCTATAAATCATTAGAAACAGGATTGCTTGATCTCATGGTAAGACTAAATATAATTTCCAAGAAGTGGCCGAAATTTCTTCCAAAATGTCTTTGCCCTTCCTTTTACACTGAATTTATTTTAAAGGAGTTTTAGGATCACAACAAGTTTGAGTAGAAGAAACAGAGTTCCCATGCACTCCTGCCCCCCGACGCTCAGCCTTCTCTGCTATCAACACCCTGCACCAGTGTCATAAATCGGTTACAGAGGATGAATCTCCACAGACACATTGGTTGTTTCCTTTTCTGGTGGTCCCTGGTATAACAAGCCTCAACTATCTTGAAGCACCCCAGGTTCAAGTGGATTCTTCAAGTGGGTTACTGGGAATGATGCCAGGTAGAAGGAAAGTGGGTGGGACCATTCCTCTTTGCACTCTTTCCTCAAGGATCCATAAAATGTACATTTACATGGAGCTCCTCTTTCTCCTGGTTTTATATGCCTCTTCCCCAATGGTAAGGTTTCCCAGTGTTTACAGCGGGGGTCCCCAGTCCCCGTGCTGTGGATCCGTTAAGGTGTGCAGTGCGTTAGGAACCGGGCCACACAGCTGGAGATGAGTGGGGGCGAGCCAGCATCGCTGCCTGAGCTCTGTCTCCTGTCGGATCAGCTGTGCATTAGATTCTCCTACAAGCCGAATTCACTTTTTTTATATATATACTTTAATTCTAGGGTACATGTGCATAACGTACAGGTTTGTTACATAGGTATACATGTGCTATGTTGGTTTGCTGCATTCATCGAATTCTATTGTGACCTGCACATACAAGGGGCCTAGACTGAGCGCTCCCTATGAGAATCTAATGCCTGACGATTGCAGGGGGAACAAGTTCATCCCAAAACCACCCGCCGCCATCATCCATGGAAAAATTCTCTTCTACCAAACTGTTCCCTGGTGCCAAAATGGTTGGGGACACTGGTGTAGAGGCAGGTCTGTACCTTGGAAAGCCAGCAGCTTCTGGTGAATCCCATAATTAATGTCCTTTAATGAGAAGTGGAGACTTTGGTCATGAGGGCCTTCGTGAATAATGCCCTACAGTTGGATTCAAAACATTGTAAGCTCTTGGGGGGTGTTTCTGGATAAAGCCCTTTGTGCAGAAAATGCAGACACATCCATGGGATCCATGCAGGAAAAAAGCTTCCTTTACAAAGTGGTTTGGCACCTGGAAGGAGCTCTCAGGGTTGGGCACTGTACCCTTTGCTGGCTGCACTTTAGCCAGAGGCTTAAGCCTGATTGGTCTTGCAGTGGGAGAGCCTTCCTGGGGTCAAAGGTTACAAAAATGCCTGTCATCTTCCAGCTGAGCAAGCCCATCTGCGTGCTTGTCAGTGTCAACCCCATGAGGGGTGCACTCTGGAAGATGACAAGATGCACACAAACCTCCTCCCACTGATTATCCACTACCACACACTCAGCTGCAACCCGTGCTCCAGAAACGGACAGGGGCCTGCAAGGATAAACAGAACGGAAGTATTTTATTACCTGGGAAAGCACTGCCAAATGCCACGTTTCAGGAAGGTTAACTCATAAGTGTTCAGGAAGTGACTGAAGGGCAGTGGTGGGTGAGGTGACAGGACTGCCTCAGGGCTTCACATGAGGAGGGCTCCCTCCCACACAGCCTTTTCCTCCAGGAGCTGCACCAGGAACTCACAGAGGATCAGGAAGGATTCTGAGAACATTCTTCTGTGGCGCTGACTAGAGGGGCAAAATAAATTATAAAAAATAAATCAATTCTAAATATAGTATGATGTTTGTTATTAGAAACTATTTCTGGATCCTGTGGGAACCCTGACATAAGCCACCATTCTCTGTGAACAAACATTTAACCTCTCCTTCCATGGGGAGGTCGACGAGCTTGGATTGGTTCTTTCATGGATAGTATCCCCCAAACTCCTCTCCACTCCCTGCGTATCCCCCGGTCTCTCAGTGAGAAGTTCTCCTGAGTGGAATGTGGTTGATGTAGTGAGATCTTCAAATTTCCCGTCTTCTGTGTTCTCATGTTCTCCCCTTATCTGAGATTAAGAAATGCACCTGCATGTAGTAAATTATAGCCTACTGTCTCTCATGGACAAAATAATGGCCACACCAACCAACCCTGTGGCTGACAGCAACCACTGGCGGCCACCATCCCCTCCACAGCCTGTGTTGGAACATCACCTGAGAGATTGTGTTAGCAACTTTCCTTCAGAATCATCTTAAAAACTTTGTGTCCCATTTCACATGGAGACGTCATTTTTCCATTTCATCTTCATAGAGAAATAGAAGGAGAAGAATACCAAATACACTTCCTATCTCCAGATTATTCAAATATAATTGTCCCTTTATCACCTTCTGATTTCTGGTCTTCACAGAATACTCTACAAATTTTTCTCACTGGCGTTATACCAAAAGTTGTGAAGCACCAGATACTGGGATTAATTTAACCAACATTATTATTCTAATAATTCTTAGAATTTAGAATTACAATTATCATCTTTTCGTATACGGATAAACTAACCTATGCCTTTGAAAATAAGCCCTTACATGAGAGTGAAAAGCTATAGATTTGGAGGATTTCCTTGCAAATCCAATATTTGGAAAAGGTTTTTTATCACAAATATACAAATTAACTTACAATTGAACAACAAAACCACAGAATTTAATTTTAAAATGGGCAGAGACCCGAATAGAAACCATATCCAAAAAACAAACATAAAAAGTGATCAACTTGATTTTCATTAGGTGTACTTATGTTTAATATTTAAAAAGTTCTACTAAACTATGAGAATGGGTAAAAATTACAAGGTAGACAATATCAGATGGTGATGAGGAAGTTGAAAAACAGGAACTTTCACCCCTTGCTGGTGGGAATGCCGAAATGGCACATAGAAAACTACAGTTAATAATTTATTGTATATTTCAGAATAGCTACAAGATAAGATTTGGAATGTTCATAACACTAAGAAATAATCAGTGATAGAGATGAAGGATATCCTAGTTATCCAGATTTGATCACTGCACATAAAATGCTTTTATCAAAATATCAGTTGTACCACCTAAATATTTTGAAATATTGTGTATCTATATAAATCAAACATTAAAAAACACCAATGCAGTGGAATCCAGCTAATTGCAGATTCCCATTAGATGGGATGTGCTGCATGATCTGTAAACTAATCAGAATCTGTGGGTTTGTAAAGGACTTTAGAAATCAACTAGGCTGCTTGTTTCTAAAGATAAGTCTCCCTAGTTTAAATATTTTCTTAATGGGTGACGATTTTGAACATAGAAGAAATAGTAATATTTGTGTCTTGTAAGTTTTCTTCTTCTCATGTCACGAGAAAAGGTTTGCAGGGAGGAATCTGGGACCATCTTTCAAGTCTCAACTTCACTGTGATTACCTCAGTAAGTATTTTCTGATACCCCTGACTAAGATAAGTCTCGTATCTGTCCTAGAAACTAAAAGTAGAATTCTAAGCATCTACCTGACCAGATGGACCCTTCCTCTTGACCAAGGAGTTCCAGAGACACTTTTAAACCTAGCTCCGGCCGTGTTAGAAATAGAGGATCAGAAATGCCTCATTATACCCTCCTCCCTTTGGAATTCAAGCACAACTAACCAGCATTTTTATGAAAACAGAGCTTAAGGCTCAGAAAACAGATTATTTGTAGCAGTAAGATACCAAATTCTAACCTTACTCGAGAATATCATCACAGGACAGAGAGCAGGCATTGAAAGGAATCAAAGGCTTTTACCCTAAAATATATTCCTTTGACATATTTTAAAATAGCCAGGCACAGTTATCTTTTGTGAGAGAGATTTACATTCTGTAGAGAATCTCCTTCCCTTTCCAGGTCTTTTTCTTATACCGAGGAGATTAGCTGAGGGTCTAGCTTCTTTTAAAGGTCTTAGGAGAAAACATTTCCCAGCTATTGCCTCTAAAGGTGGTCACATAAGAGACTTCATCTACATAGTAAGAATCTTGTTCTCCAAAACCTGTTATCTTAACCTAGAAACATTTTTCTACCGGTTTCAGGTCTTTAGAAAAAAGCTTAAATCTTTCAATCAATTGTCAATCAGAAAATATTCGAACTCACTGTAAGTTGTAATCCCCGCCCCACACTGCCTCACTTCTAGCTGTTTTGTCTTTATGGACCAAATCAACATATATCTCACATGTATTGTTTGGTGACTGTCTCTCTAGTACACTAAATTTAAGCTACCATCAAGCCACTTTGGGCACATGTTCTCAAGATCTTCTGGGGCTGTTCACAGTTCATGGTCCTCACATTCGCCTCAGAATAAATCTCTCTAAATATTTTGCAAGGTTGCTTTTTCATCAGTAGTTCTAACAGAACCTACTCTGTGGTTTTTGTTAAAAGCATTATATTAATATAGTATTAGTAATATTAGTATTAGTTATAACACATGTTGGAAAATTCTTATGAAGTTATGCATAGACTAACAATGGGATCAAGTGTAAATGTTTCAAAGTATTTAAGCAAGTTATTTCAAAATTTATCTTCTGCAGATACTTCTATCAGATTCATTATATCAGCTAATTACTTGCTTTATGATTTTTGCATTTTATTGTAGATGATCACACCCTATATTTTCTTGGCCTTTATCGTAGAAAATTGTGTGAAACTAGTCAGGGCTACATTTGCAAGTAATTGTCGCAGTGGCTGCCTGAATTGCAGTGGGTTTCCTCTGCAGCCACCAGTCACTCAGATTACTCCAATGACACCTTAATTTTGTTTCCTGCTTGGCTTTGGGCCTTAGTCTTGTGCTCTCCAGACAGACTCTGTCTTTCATCTCCCCTAGGTCAGGCCAGAGCCACATGGACCTGATGATTGTCAATATGGTGGGAAGGGTCGCACTGAACGGGCACTCTCTGTCCTTCTGAGGGAGCCATACTGCAGGCAGACATGGCAGTCCTGGCTCAGGGTGTGTCCTTCCAAGTATCCCTGCCCTTCCTGCAGGTGTGATGCTGATCCATGCATCTTCCTCCCATTCCTGGGTAGAGGGTCTCCTTGTTCTTTCCCCAATCTTCTCCCAGCAGCCACTATGTCTTCCCACTGATGTCTTCAGCTTCCTCTTTTCTGCCCTTCCCAGCAGATGAGTCTGTTATTCCTGAGGGAAGAGAGAGGAGGTGGGAGATGAGGCTGTTATTCCTGAAAGAATGGACAGAGCTTTGGAGCTTTTCTTTCTTCTACCCCAGTTTCTACGAGTTCCTCCAGTGCCTGTAACACAGAGCTGTCAGTGGCTTTGCCCCTGCATGTTAATTCTTTGGTCATGTAGTGGTGGTGAGGGAGCTGGGTCTGGATGCATTTCAGCCACAGCTGCTGTTCCACTTCCCCACACAGAACCGTCTCGGGAGGAAGAGGTTGGAGATTTTTCTGATGTGTCCTCAATCCTGGGAGAAAAGTTTTCAATAGCAATAGGAATCTCTCAGTTGTATGTCCGCTGAGAATTTAAACAATAACTTCTTTATAATACTAAATTTTAAACAATCCAATGAATATATCTAATTTAATTTTGTATTAGCTTATGTGACATTTGCTGGCCTCTCCCCCAGATAAGGTCATATTCTCTTCCTGTTTGTTCCTGCAAGTCACTGAATTTCACAAGATGTAAGGTCTCTTGATTATACTATAACATCAATAATCTGGTGTACTAAAGAAAATGTGCTAATTTGCAGCTTACTAAAATTAGTTGTTTTAGTAAAAATAATATATTTGTTATAGCATGCCTACATCTCCAGGCTGAGTAGAAGCTTTATTTGTAATACTCAGAAACTGCAAATAACACACATATTAAGGAGCTTTCTAAATAAATACTATGGGTGAATTCTTTAACTGGAATACTGTTCCTCATTAGAATCAACACATTCTTTATACACAACCAAATTACTGACTCCCAAGTAATTATACTGAGCAAGAAGCCACACAAATGAAATTGAAAATATAAGATTTCACTTTAACAAAATCTTGAAAAATAGATCTGAATTAACAAAGATGAGAGGTTGACTCAGTATGGTGAGAGGGAAATAATGGGGAGGCAGGAATGAGAGGAACACAGGGAGGCTTTTAACTGTAATCATCGTTATCTCGATTGTTATTTTGGATACACAGGTGAGCACACGTGAAATTATGTTTTTTTTCCTTCGGAGACATGGTTTTGCTTTGTCGTCCAGGCTGGAGCTCCGTGGTGAGATCATAGCTCTCTGCAGCCTCAGACCCTGGGTCTCCAGCAATCCTCCTCCCTCTGCCCTATGTAGCTGGGACTACAGGGGTGCACCACCATGCTCGGCTTCAGTGCGTATTAAACCGCACACTTCAATTATGCAGTATTTATTATATAGCAATAATGCCTCAATAAGGGTATTACAAATAAGTGGATAATTTGTTAAAGATTGATGGAAAGATAGATACCAACATGAGAAATGTATGACACTCAAGAAAATAAAACTGTAGGAAACTTGCTTTTCTTTATATTTGTTAGGTAATCACCACAGTGTGTACACATCACACCATGTTCCCATTACAGAGAAAAGGTTCTGCGAACCTCACGAGCTGTGACCCCTGTGTGCTGGGCTTGGTTCAGGGAGAAGTCAGGTCCAGTGGTGAGAAGCACAGGCCCAGATGCCCAGGCTCACTCTGACCAAATGTGAGCACTGGGGACATTGTAAAACCCACCTGTGCTTTTGCTGATAATTTTTCATCTTTAACATGGAAATAATATTGATACTATATACCATGGTTTCTCTGCGTATGTAAAAATAAAAGATGATTGGTGCTAACTTTAAAAATATGCAGTTTATGTAGATCTATGGTACCTCAATAAAACTGTTTTAAAATAAAAATTACAAAATTATAAGATTTTTAGGTTTTAAGGTTTAAGTTTATCACAAAACAAACTGACAATAGGAAAGCACAATTTCCCAATGCTTTCAATATCACAGATCTCCCCGAGGACATTCTGACATGCTCTGAGCCCCACTATCTCCAAAGGCCTCTCACCCCAGAGCTTACTATATAGTAGGAGATATGCAAATAGAGCCCTCCGTCTGCTGATGAAAACCAGCCCAGCCCTGACCCTGCAGCTCTGAGAGAGGAGCCCAGCCCTGGGATTTTCAGGTGTTTTCATTTGGTGATCAGGACTGAACAGAGAGAACTCACCATGGAGTTTGGGCTGAGCTGGCTTTTTCTTGTGGCTATTTTAAAAGGTAATTCATGGAGAAATAGAAAAATTGAGTGTGAATGGATAAGAGTGAGAGAAACAGTGGATACGTGTGGCAGTTTCTGACCAGGGTTTCTTTTTGTTTGCAGGTGTCCAGTGTGAGGTGCAGCTGGTGGAGTCTGGGGGAGGCTTGGTACAGCCTGGGGGGTCCCTGAGACTCTCCTGTGCAGCCTCTGGATTCACCTTTAGCAGCTATGCCATGAGCTGGGTCCGCCAGGCTCCAGGGAAGGGGCTGGAGTGGGTCTCAGCTATTAGTGGTAGTGGTGGTAGCACATACTACGCAGACTCCGTGAAGGGCCGGTTCACCATCTCCAGAGACAATTCCAAGAACACGCTGTATCTGCAAATGAACAGCCTGAGAGCCGAGGACACGGCCGTATATTACTGTGCGAAAGACACAGTGAGGGGAAGTCATTGTGAGCCCAGACACAAACCTCCCTGCAGGAACGATGGGGGGGAAATCAGCGGCAGGGGGCGCTCAGGACCCGCTGATCAGAGTCATCCCCAGAGGCAGGTGCAGATGGAGGCTGTTTCCTGTCAGGGTGTGGGACTTCATCTTCTTCTGACAGTTTCTCTAGTGAACCTCTCTAACCTCAGAATTCTGTGCTTACTAATGTCATCTCTACGTATTTTTTAAAAGATCATTTTAATATGAGCACCTATTCTCACACGCACCAAATGCAGATTGACGCTTACAGAGATGAAAAGTTCTCAACCATGGTCACCAGGATGAGAGTCCTGAGGAAACTCAGGGGTGCCTGGTGACTCTTCCGCAATCAGTCCTGGGACAGAAACCTCAGGGACAGCCTTTATGAGTTTTGATCACATCTAACAGAGAGGATGGGCCAGGGCCAGAGTCATGTAGAACCTCACAGGTTCCACGTCTGACCCTTCTCCTGACACTAAAGCCAATCAGCATCAGCACTGACCTGGTGCTCCTTTTGCTCCCAATCCATGTTCTTTCTTTGGAGAGTTTCTTCTCCCTTTTTTATTTGCTTTTCCTGTTTCCTGAAAAAGAAACAGATGGTCCCCTTGGTCCACATTCCAGGGCTCAAGGCATTTTCTTGGAGCTCAGGTGGGGCTCAGGCTGTGGCTCCTGCAGCCACGTGGGAGAGGCTGATGGGACTTCCTTCTCTCCCCATTTTCTCAGGACCCTCCACTGTGTTGTGTGTAGGCTCATCTGGGAATGCAGTTGACCATTAATACTGAAGGGGACAAACTCATTTGATCAAAATGGGATGTGGATGTGGAGTTAACCCTGTTCCGTGCACAGTGTCAGAGTCGTCTGCTTCAGAAGTAGTGTTAGAAAGAGCTGGTGAAATTTATCAGAATCAAGATGGAGCCACTTGTGTTAAAGCCCTAATGAATGAAGCTGGGGAAGGCCATGAAGGAGGGTTCTAACACACATATTCCTGATAATAAGAACTACCATAAATAGACTCTGCACAACCATAACCTTGCACAGAAGCCACCACAACATTAAAAGAATTACTTCTCCCAGTGTATCTGCCCAGCAACTCCCTGTTCAACTTTACACCGATGTGCCCCTGTTATTGATCCTTCTAGCCCAGGACAATTGTCTTAAACAGCTGATGTGACCCTCCTCATTTTTCCTTTATTCTTTATCTTCCTATACCAACCTGAATGCACCCATACATTTCAATTGCAATACACTTCCTAGAATACATATTATTATATTTTAGAGTCTCTCTCTCTCTGTTATTCAGGGTTGACAAGCTACAGATGGACATGCCACTTTCTTTTTTTATGACTTTTTTTAAAAATTTTATTATTCTTGTACTTTAAGTTTTAGGGTACCTGTGAACAATGCAGGTTTGTTACATATGTATACATGTGCCATGTTGTTGTGCTCCACCCATTAACTCGTCATTTAGCATTAGGTATACCTCCTAATGCTCTCCCTCCCCACTACCCCCACCCCACAACAGTCCCTGGAGTGTGATGTTCCTCTTCCTGTGTCCATGTGTTCTCATTGTTCAATTCCCACCTATGAGTGAGGAAAAAAATGATGAGTTCATGTCCTTTGTAGGGACACGGAAGAAACTGGAAACCATCCTTCTATCATTCTCAGCAAACTATCGCAAGGACAAAAGACATGCCACTTTTCTGTGAGATGTGGAGGATGACAGTTTTTGGAGATGTCTGGGAATACCCAGTGTCCAGAAGATCATCCATCAATAAGTGCAGGCTGGAGGTCCCAGAGAGAGGCAAAGCTGCTGAAACACCATGGAATTTCATTTTCTCCAGTTCTGCTCTGATGGAATCAGGCCCACCTGTTTTGCTTGTCTTAAGTAAATTCACAGCACCACATATATTAGTGTTGCAGTGAATAACTACAAAGTCTATCCTAACCAAGTGTACCATCAAATTTACCATTACCCAGAGGGAAGAATCTTTAACATGAGATCTATGTTCATAATTTTTTAAGGTGAAAAAGTGATCACTATCCAATCAGGCAAATATGATTTTGCTAATGAGTGGTAGATGTTGCATGTATTTTTGGATGTCATCCCTTTTTCAGATGCATGGCTTGCAATTATATTTTCCCATTCTGTAGGTTGGAATTATTTCCACACTTTGTAGAATCTTTTTGTTGTGATGTAGTTCCACCTGTTTAATTCTGCTTTTGTTGTCTGTGCCTTTAATGTGAAATATAGGAAATCATTGTTAATATATTATTTTCTGGGTCGGGGAAATTTTACAATTGCAGGCCATATGTTTAAATATCTGGCCCATTCAGAGTGATTTTTGTGTTTATTCTAACCCAAAATTCTTAACTCTTTGCATGTGTACATCCAGTTTTTCTAACACATTCATAGGGAGAGACTTGGTTTATCTGTTTTATATTGTGGGTTCTTATGCTGAAAATCAGTTTGCCATTGATACATCAGTTTATTTCTGAGCTCTTTCTACATATTTATGCCAACTCCATCCTGTTTTTATTATTCTACTTTTGTTATTACTTTTGAAATCTGGAAGTAAGATGTAAGTTTATTTTTGCCTTTTTACAGATGCTATAGCAAAATATTTTAACCTTTCACTCTTCCATATAAAAGTATGGCTTTAAATAATGACTTTTATTATATACAGGTTATATTCTTGTATTCCTAACTTTTAGAGGTTTTATTATGAGATCTTGAATTTTTTAAATGTTATTTTCTATGTCTGGTGAGAAGTTAACTGATGCTTTTCCTTTATTCTCTTAATTTACCACATCAGATTTATTGATTTGAAGATATTGATTCATCAGCGCATCTCAAAAATAATTTGGAGCTTGTCATGGTGTACAATCCTTTTAAAGTCTTATAGAACTTAGTTGACTATGAATTGGGAGTAGCTTGTTTACATATACTAAGAACATTTGTCAGAAGTTTGGTTTTCTTCTTTTGCCTTGTCTATTACTGGTAATACAGTGATTGGAGCCTCTTAGAAAGAGATTAGAAGGTGGGGACCTCACGGATTTTTTAAAAAGTTAGAGAACGGTTGTCATCACTTTTTTAAACGCTGAGAGTCATTTGTTATCTAATATATAACCCATCATGAGGAATATCTCTAGTGTGCTTGGGAAGCATGCATATTACGCTGCTGTTGGTTGGAATGTTCCGTAGATGTCTGTTAGGGCAGTTTGTTCGAGAGTGCTTAAGTCCACGGGCTTCCTAAGAATTTTTCTGTGGATGCTCTGTACATTATTGAAGGCGAGGTTTTGAAGTCTCCTAATTTTTTTATAGTTTTCTATTTCTCCTTTTATACATCTTAAAGTTTCATAAATGTAGTTATATTTCTAGTTTTTCAAATATGTAAAAGAGAAATAAAAATATTTGCTTAGTAATTTTAATGAGAAAATCACATAACAAGAAATTATATTTTCCAAATGCTGCCATCAACACTAAACTCCTCCAGGAGTCTCACATCTGCCCTGGGCTCTGCTCTCTCCTCAGGCATCCCACCTCAGCATTTGCTGCAGAGGAGGGGACGTGAAAATAGGGCCCTCCCTTTCCTGATGGAAACCATCGCAGCCCTGAGCCTACAGCTCTGGGAGAAGAGCCCCAGTCCAGCATTACCAGGAGTTTTGATTTGACAATCAGCTCTGAACACACATGGCTCACCATAGAGTTAGGGCTGAGCTGGGTTTTCTTGTTGCTATTTTAAAAGGCAAATAATGGAGAACTAGAGATATTAAGCATGAGTGGATGTGAGTGAAAATACAGTGATTATGTGTGGCAGGTTCGGACCAAAATGTCCCTATGTTTGTAGGTGTCTAGTGTGAGGTGCAGGTGGTGGAGTGTAGGGGAGAGACAAGAGGCAGAAAAGTGTGCAGGAGGCCGGGTGAGGCTGTAGACACTGTCAGCCCACTATGCCAATCCCACCACGAGTGCTGGAGAAGGTGGGAGTCTGATGAAGCTTACTAACAACCCTGTGGTCCAAGCTAATTCCATCAAGGCCATTGGTTCTTCCCAGAGCATAGCTGTCCATCGGGAATCTCCCATGTGCCCAGCAGCAGCCACGCGTTAGCAACTTCACTGTGCACAGTCATTGTTTGGGAGGAGCTCCAGGATGTGTCTCTTTGTCAAAAACTGGGTGATGGTGTCAGAGAGCTGTGCCGGGTGCCTGGTCCACGTGCTCCCTGACATTGGAGGTATAGGAGGTGCGTTCTCAGGGTGGAAACACCTTTTATGGAAATGTACATAATAAATCACGATTTTCCTTGGTTCTCTTAGACGACATGGAGAAGCAAGCATGCACCCTGCAAACAATTGTAATTTCCTGCTTTACCCCAAGTTCATGATTTCTTGTAAACTTTGATTTCTGTCCAAGTACAGAGATACTGATTAGAGTGAGTTTGGTTCTTTCCACACACTAACCCTCACCTCCCCCAGATAGAGCACATTGTCCTCACTCTGAGTCTGAGGGAGGAGCTGTTCCTGTACAACTCAGGGACTGCAGAGACCCCCGTGTGCAGCTTTGCAGAGTCAGATCTTTCCTCATGTGAGGCGACCTCCACTGCCCGTGATTGCTGCTCAGGTCTAATTGTGGATTCGGGATTATGACACCCTTTGGGCTATCACAGGTCAATCTTATTCTGAAAATCACCGTAATTATAGACAGAGGTAATAATCCAGTACCCATTCTTCTGTCCGCAGTTTGTCTTTCTTATTTGGTTGAAAGTTTGAAGAAAAAATGTGACCATATATTCATCTAATTCTAACCTCTGAATCTGCTATTTGCTCTCGGGGACCTACAAATTGCAAAACAGTGAGTTCTTCATTTTCATCAAAATGTGCAAATTTGTGAATTTCAACATGTTGTTCAGAACCTGTGCATGCCGACAACTGTGATTCTCGGTGCACTCCTGGCCTGGTGAAGCCCTCACAGATCCTCCCCCTGGCCTGTGGCATCTCTGCTTCTCCATTACAACCAGTGCTTCCTGCTGGAGCTGGATCCGTCACCCCCCGGGGAAGGGACTGGAGCGAATCAGGTGCACAGGTCATGAGGGAGTGCACAATCCAACCCACTCCTCAAGAGTCCAGTCACCATCTCCAGATCCACATCCAAAAAACAGTTTCTCCTACAGCTGAGCTACCTTAACAAGGAGTACACAACCATGATTTTTATACAAAAGACACAGCGAGGGGAAGCCATTGTGCGCTCAGAACACTCTACAAATTTTCCTCCCTAGTGTTTTACCAAAACTGGTATATATTTCAGATACTGAAATATTTACAACCTACGTTATTATGCTAAGAATTCTAAGTTAGAAGTTAGAATGATAATTGTCTCTTTTTTTTCCTTTTTTTTTTTTTTTTTTTTGATACTGAGTCTCACTGTTGTTGCCTGGGCTGGAGTTCAATGGTGCAATCTCGGCTCACTGCAACCTCTGCATCCCAGGTTGCAGCAATTCTCCTGCCTCAACCCCCCAAGTAGTTGAGATTACAGGCGCCTGCCACGATGCCCGGCTAATTTCTGTATTTTTAATAGAGACGGGGTTTCACCATGTTGGCCTGGCTGGTCTCAAACTCCTGACCTCAGGTGATCCAACCGCCTCAGCCTCCCAAAGTGCTGGAATTACAGGCAGGAGCCACTGCACCTGGCCAATTATCCTCTTTTCATAGATGGATAAACTAACCTAGGCCTTTGAAAATAAACCCTTATCTGAGAGTGAAAAGATAAGCCATAGATTTGGAGAGTTTGCTTGCAAATCAAATATTTGGAAAAGGACTTTTATTACAAATATACAAATTACCTTACAATTGAACAACAAAACCACACAATTTAATTTTAAAATGGGCAAAGACCTGAATAGAAAGTGCATCTAACAATAAGTATAAAAAGTGACCAACTGGATTTTCATTAGGTAAATGTATGTTTAATATTGAAAAAATCCTAGTAACCTAATAGAATGGGTAAAATACACAATATAGACAATACCAAATGTTGACGAGGAAGTTGAAAAACAGGAATTTTCACCCATTGCTCCTGAGAATGCTGAATTGGCACATAGACAACTACAGTTAATAATTTATTGTGTATTTCAAATTAGCTAGAAGATAACATTTAGAATGTTCTTACCACAAAGAAGTAGTCAATGATTGAGATGAAGGTTGAAGGTTGTCCCAGTTATCCAGATATGCACATAATTTTCTTTTTTTCGAAATATCACATGTACCACATAAAGGTTTTGAACTATTATGCATCTATTTAAATTACACATTAAAAAACACCAGTGGAAGGGAATCCAGCTAATTGCAGATTGCCATTGGATGGGACGTTCTGTATAATCTGTAAACTAATCAGAATCTGTGTTTTTCTAAAGGACATTAGGAATCGTTATACTAGTTTCTAAAGATAAGCCTTGCAAGTTTAATTATTTTCCTAATGGGTGGCGATTTTGAACATTGAAGAAATGTTAGTATTTGTTTCTGGTTAAGTTTTCTTCTTCTAGTCTCAGGAGAAAAGGTTTGCAGGGAGGAATCTGAGACTATCTTTCAAGTCTCAACTTCAATGTGATTACCTCAGTAAATATTTTCTGATACCCCTGAGTAGGGTAAGTCTCATATATGTCCAATAAACTAAAAGTAGAATTTTAAGCGCCCAAGCTGACTGAATGGAACCTTCCTCTTCACCAAGGAGTTCCAGAGACTTGAAAACCTAGTTCAGGCCACATTAGAAACAGATCAGAAATGCCTCATTATACCCTCCTCACTTTGGAATTCAAGCACAACTGACCAGCATTTTCATGAAAACAGAGGACTCAAGGCTCAGAAAACGGATTCCGTGTAGCAATAAGATACCAAATTCTAACCTGACTCGAGAATAGCGTCATGTGACACAGAGCAGGCCTTGAAAGGAATCGAAGGCTTTTACCCTAAAATATATTTCTTTGACATATTTTTAAATCGCCCTGCACAGTTATCCTTTGTGAGAGAGATTTACATTCTGTAGAGAATCTCCTTCCCTTTCCAGGTCTTTCGTTATACTGAGGAGATTAGCTGGAAGTCTAGCATCTCTTAAAGGTCTTAGTAGAAAAACATTTGCCATCTATTTCCTCTAAGCGTGGCCACATAAGAGACTTCATCTGCATAATATGAATTTTGTTCTCCAAAACCTGTTATCTTAACCCAGACACTTTTTACTACTGATTTCTGGTCTTTAGATAAAAACTTAAGTCTTTCAATGAATTGCCAATTGAAAAATCATTTAATTCACCTGTAAGCGGTAATTATCTCCCCACACTGCCTCACTTCTAGCTGTTTTGTCTTTATGAAACAAATCAACAGATATCTCACATGTATCAATTGATGTTATTAAATTTAACCTGCAATCAAACCACTTTGGGCACATGTTATCAGGATCCTCTGGGGCTGCGTCACAGGGCATGGACCCCACATTTGGCTCAGAATAAATCTCTCTAAGTATTTTCCAAAGTTGGCTTTTTATCGATAGAATCTACTCTGTGGTCTCTGTTACATTCAAAAGCATGATAGTAATAAAGTATTAGTTATTAAAAATAAGCACATGTTGGCAGTTTCTTACGAAGTTACGCATAGACTAACTATGGGATCAAGTGTAAATTTTCAAAGTATTTATGCAGTTATTTCAAAATGTATGTTCCACAGATACTTCTATCAGATCCTTTATATTAGATAATTATTTGTTTTATGACTTTTTTTGTAGATGATCATGCCGTATCTTTTCTAGGCCTTTATTGTAGAAAATTGTGTGAAACCAGTCAGGGCTACATTTGAAATTCATTGTCACAGTGGCTGCCTGAATTGCAGTGGGTTTCCTCTGCAGCCACCAGACACCCAGATTCCTCCAGTGACACCTTAATTTTGTTTCCTGCTTGGCATTGGGCCTTAAATTGTGTGTTCCAGAGAGACTCTGTCTTTCATCTCCCCCAGGTCATCCCAGAGCCACATGGACCTGATGATTGTCAATGTGGTGGGAAGGGTTGCACTGAACGGGCACTCTCTGTCCTTCTGAGGGAGCCACACTCCAGGCAGACATGGCAGTCCTGGCTCAGGACGTGTCCTTCCAAGTATCCCTGCCCCTCCTGCAGGTGTGATGCTGATCCATGCATCTTCCTCCCATTCCTGGGTAGAGGGTCTCCTTGTTCTTTCCCCAATCTTCTCCCAGCAGCCACTATGTCTTCCCACTGATGTCTTCAGCTTCCTCTTTTCTGCCCTTCCCAGCAGATGAGTCTGTTATTCCTGAGGGAAGAGAGAGGAGGTGGGAGATGAGGCTGTTATTCCTGAAAGAATGGACAGAGCTTTGGAGCTTTTCTTTCTTCTACCCCAGTTTCTACGAGTTCCTCCAGTGCCTGTAACACAGAGCTGTCAGTGGCTTTGCCCCTGCATGTTAATTCTTTGGTCATGTAGTGGTGGTGAGGGAGCTGGGTCTGGATGCATTTCAGCCACAGCTGCTGTTCCGTTTCCCACACAGAACCATCTCGGGAGGAAGAGGGTGGAGATTTTTGTGATGTGTCCTCAATCTTGGGAGGAAAGGTTTCAATAGCAATAGGAGTCTCTCAGTTTTAAGTCCTGTGGAAATTTAAATAATAACTTCTTCATTATACTTAATTTTAAGCAATCGGGTAAATATATCTAATTTAATCTTGCATTAACTTATATGACATTTGCTGGCCTCTGCCTCAGATAAAATTATATTCTTTTCCTGTTTATCCTTACAAGTCACTGATTTGATTTTCACAAGAGGTAAGTTCTCTCATTTGCCCTATACATCAATAAACTCATGTATTAAATAAAATGTGCTAATTTGTAGCTCAGTAAGGCTAGTTGTTGTAAAAATAATACTTTTTTATTGGATGACTACATCTCCAGGCGGAGTAGAAGATACATTTGTAATACTCAGAAACTGGAAATAACACAAATGTTAAGGAGATTTATAAATAAATGATAGGGGTGTACTCATTAACTGGAATACTGTTCCTCGTTAGAATCAACACCTTTATACACAATCAAATTACTGACTCACAAGTAATTATTCTGAGCAAGAAGCCACACAAATGAAATGGAAACTAAAAGATTTCACTTTAACAAAATATTGAAAAATAGATCTGAATTAACAAAGATGAGAGGTTGACTGAGTATAGTGAGAGAGAAATGACGGGAGGCAGGAATGAGAGGAACACAGGGAAGCAGGGAAGCTTTTAACTGTAATCATCATTATCTTGATTGTTATTTTGGATACACAGGTGAGCACATGTGAAATTACATTTTTTTTCTTTGGAGACATGGTCTTGCTTTGTCATCCAGGCTGGAGCTCAGTGGTGAGATCACAGCTCTCTGCAGCCTCAGACCCTGGGTCTCCAATCCTCCTCCCTCTGCCCTATGTAGCTGGGACTACAGTTGTGCACCACCATGCTCGGCTTCAGTGTGTATTCAACTGCACACTTTAATTATGCAATATTTATTATATAGCAATAATGCCTCAATAAGGGTATTGCAAATAAGTGAATATATAATTTGTTAGATAAAGACTGATGGAAAGATAGACACGAACATGAGAGATGTATGACACTTAAGAAAATAAAACTGTGGGAAACATGCTGTTCTTTACAATTGTTAGGTAATCACAAAAGAGCATACACATCACACCATGTTCCCATTACAGAGAAATGGTTCTGTAAACCTCACTAGGTGCAACCCCTGTGTGCTGGGCTTGGTTCAGGGAGAAGTCAGGTCCAGTGGTGAGAAGCACAGGCCCAGATGCCCAGGTCACTCTGACCAAATGTGAGCTCTGGGGACACTGTACAACCCATCTGTGCTTCTGCTGGTAATTTCTCATTTGTAACATGGAAATAACATTGATACTACATACCATGGTTTCTCTGCATGTGTAAAAATAAAAGATTATTGGTGTGAACTTCAAAAATATGCAGTTTATGTAGATCTATTGTACCTCAATAAAACTTTTAAAATAAAAATTACAAAATTATAAGATTTATAGGTTTTAAGGGTTTACCACAGAACAAACTTACAATAAGTAACCACAATTCCCAAATGCTATCAATATCACAAATCTCCCCCAGGACGCTCTCACATGCTGTGAGCCCCACTCTCTCCTCAGGCCTCTCACCCCAGAGCTTACTATATAGTAGGAGACATGCAAATAGAGCCCTCCCTCTGCTGATGAAAACCAGCCCAGCCCTGACCCTGCAGCTCTGGGAGAGGAGCCCCAGCCCTGGGATTTTCAGATGTTTTCATTTGGTGATCAGGACTGAACACAGAGGACTCACCATGGAGTCATGGCTGAGCTGGGTTTTTCTTGCCGCTATTTTAAAAGGTAATTCATTGAGAACTATTGAAATTGAGTGTGAGCGGATAAGAGTGAGAGAAACAGTGGATACGTGTGGCAGTTTCTGACCAGGGTTTCTTTTTGTTTGCAGGTGTCCAGTGTGAGGTGCAGCTGGTGGAGTCTGGGGGAGGCTTGGTACAGCCTGGGGGGTCCCTGAGACTCTCCTGTGCAGCCTCTGGATTCACCTTCAGTTACTACTACATGAGCGGGGTCCGCCAGGCTCCCGGGAAGGGGCTGGAATGGGTAGGTTTCATTAGAAACAAAGCTAATGGTGGGACAACAGAATAGACCACGTCTGTGAAAGGCAGATTCACAATCTCAAGAGATGATTCCAAAAGCATCACCTATCTGCAAATGAAGAGCCTGAAAACCGAGGACACGGCCGTGTATTACTGTTCCAGAGACACAGTGAGGGGAGGTCAGTGTGAGCCCGGACACAAACCTCCCTGCAGGGCCGCGCGGGGCCACCAGGGGGCGCTAGGGACCCACTGAGGGCGGGACAGGAGCAGGTGCCGGGAGAGGTTTCCTTTCTCCTCAGCTGGAAAAGTCAGGTTTGTGTTTGCCGGACTCTGGAGCTTTCTAGGCTGTGACGTTTTATTACTTGTGTTTATTATGAATTTATTATCGTTAGTATTTAAATTTTAGTAATTTAAAAATTATATATATATGTTTACACTTTAATGAAATAAGCATTCCTATTTGCACCGATTCTTCCAGAGTTTTATTAACATTTGTTGACGTCAGCAGCTACGAAGCTATAGGGACATAAATTTATAACCATAGAAAGATGTATAGGCCAGGCGCGGTGGCTCACGCATGTAATCCCAGCACGTTGGAAGCCATAGGTGGGCTGATCACTTGAGGCCAGGAGTTCGAGACCAGCCTGGGCAAAATAGTGAAACTCCATCTCTACTAAAAATGCAAAAATCAGCTGTGCGTATTGGCATGTGCCTTTAATCCCAGCTACTCGGTAGGCTGAAGCAGGAGAATCACTTGAACACGGAAGGCAGAGATTGCAGTGAGCTAAATGGCGCCACTGCACTCCAGCCTGGGTGACAGAGCAAGATTCGATCTCAAAAAAACAACAAAAAACAAAAACAAAACAAAGAAAGAAAAAATATATAAATACAAAGACATATGCATATATGTGTAGGAATTCATAATAAACATTACAATAAAGTAATTCTAAAAATATGTCCTAAAGAATCAAACTTAATGATGAGCTAAATGTAAATTATTTGAGTATTTCACAATTGATTTTGGTTATTTTTAATTGTTTACATCAATTGATTTATATTTGTTCATTTAACTACTGTTAAATAATGGTTATTTCAAATGTGGTTGTCACAATAAATAATAAGAATTTGAATTGATAAATGATAATTATCTTAATCATTTCTTAATTATCTTAGTTATCCCATATGGTATTCACAAATCATAACATTGCTTCTTACCTTGTAAATATAAACAACCATAATTCGTGAATTTAAAATAAAATTTTTTATTTTAATTTTTTAAAATTTATCCCAGATCATTATCTTTTTCTTCAGTTCCAGCTCTCATTTGATGGTCTCAAGGGCCCATCTGCACCCCTGTCTCCTGAAGGCTTCTGGGAGTGGCTGTGGGACAGGCAGAAGCAGGAGCCCATGTGAGTCCACACGACCTGGAGCCTCCCTCTCCTTGGATTAGGCCATCTCCTCGGGATCACAGGGCTCTTCATTATCCTCACCCCGCTGTTGTACCAAACAAGCAACATCACACTTCAATTCATCACGCTTTGCTTTAATTTTCTAAATCATCGTGAAGGTGATAATGTTAACAGTAAATGTATCACTAACAAATAGGATAAGCCCTTTTCCATGGGACAGGGTTTCTTACAAGGACTTGACATGTATTATGTATTTTCCATTTATTTATAGATGAGATACTAATATCTCCATATTGGAGACAATTCCTTTAAGTCATTTCTTAAAATTAATTTTTCCTAGGACTCCAAACAAATCCATGATATAGTTGAAAATTTCAGGTGTAAGAGTTGGGCCAACATTGAGACTATATTAACATTTATAACATGTGCTTGCAAATATTGTTATTTTTCTGTCGGCTGTCCCCAGTTATGGTTTGATACAAAATGTTAGTAATTTATCCTAATAAAACAGTTTACAATATTATATCAATAGTTTATTAACTTTGTATAACTAATAATATAAAATGTTCAACATATTTTAGCCATATTTTACTTATTTGTGAAATGTGTGCTTATTAGTTTTTCGTTTTAAGATGTCACCTTTATCTTTTTTATTTCTGGGATTTTATTCTAGTAGATATAACTAAATGTCTTTAAATAATTATTGTAATAATCACATTTATATTTTCTATTTGAATTTTCATATGCATGTTATTAAGATTTTAATTTCAATAAAAATATTTTCCTCCAATTGTCTATTTTCTGTTTTTATGAGATAACATATACAAAAATGCATAGCTCTTCAATGTACAGTTTGAGGGTTTCTGGCAAATGTGCACGTTTGTCTCCAGCACCTAAGTTAGGGTGAGGAGCAGGTCCATCTCCACAAGTGTCCTCTCAGTGTTTCCAGTCAGCTCTCACATAAGGATTTTTTTTTAATTTCAACTTTTAATTTAGATACAGAGGGGACGTGTGTGGACTTGTCACACGGGATTATTGAGTGATGCTGAGGTTTGGAATCCAGATTCCATCACCCCCTCCCTCCACTCTCCAGCAGTCCACGGTGTCTATTGTTCTTCTATTTATGTCCATGTGTGCTCAATGCTGAGCTCCCACATAGGAGAATATGTGGTATTCGGTTTTCTGTTCCTGCATTTATTTGTTTATGATTAAGACCAACAGCTCCATTAATTTTGCGGCAAGGGACATGATTTCATTCTTTTTCATGGCTGTGTAGTATTATATAGTGTAGATGTACCATATTTTGTATATTCAGTCTACCAGTGATGTGCATCTGGGTTAAACTACGTCTTTGCCACTGTGACTAGCACAGCCATGAATACGCATGTGTAGGTGTCTCTTTGGTAGAATTATTTATTTACTTTTTAGTGTATACCCTGTAGTGGAATTGCTGGGTAAAATGATATCTCTGTTTTAAGTTCTTTGAGAAATCTCCAGTCTGCTTTCCAAAGTGGCAAGACTAATTTATATTCTCATCAACAGTGTATAAGTGTTCTCTTTTCTCCAAAGTCCCACAAGCATCCTTTGTTTTTCGACTTTTTTGTGATACCATTCTGAGTGGTGTGTTGCTGCTCACCTACAATCATCTCATATTTGATAAGGCTGATGAAAAGAAGCAATGAGGAAAGGACTCCCTGTTCAATAAATGATACTGGGACAACGGGCTAGCCATATGATGAAGATTGAAGCTGACCCTGTACTTTCAACATATATAAAATTAACTCAAAATTGATTAAAGCCTTAAATGTAGGACCTCAAACCATAAAACTCCTTGAAGACACCCTTGAAAACACTCTTATCGACACTAGTTTTGACAAAAAATTTTTGGCTAAGTATCCAAGGCCAGTTGCAACAAAAAGAAAAATAGACAAGTGGGACCTAATTAGTTAAGGAGTTTCTGCACAGTAAGACAAACAAACAAACAAACAACAAACAAAACTATCAGCAGTGTAAGCAGACAATCTACAGAATGTGAGAAGATATTCACAAGCATTGCATCCCACAAAGCCCTAGTATCCAGAGTCTGTAGATAAACAAATCAAAAAGAACCAAAAAAAAAAAAACCCTTTAAAAATTGGCTGATATGGTTTGCTGTGTCCCCACCCAAATTTCAACTTGAATTGTATCTCCCAGAATTCCCATGTGTTGTGAGAGGGACCCAGGGGGAGGTAATTGAATCATGGGGGCTGGTATTTCCCGTGCTATTCTCTTGATAGTGAATAAGTCTCATGAGATCTCATGGGCTTATCAGGGATTTCCGCTTTTGCTTCTTCCTCATTTTCTCTTGCCACCCACCAGGTAAGGAGTGCCTTTTTCCTCCCGCCGTGTTTCTGAGGCCTCCCAAGCCATGTGGAATGTAAGTCCAATCAAACTTCTTTTTCCTCCCAGTTTTGGATATGTCTCTATCAGCAGTTTCAAAATGGACTAGTACATAGGCAAACGACACAGACACTTCTCAAAAGAATACATGCAAGTGCCCAGCAAATATATTGTAAAAATGTTTAACATCACTAATCATCAGAGAAATGCAAGTAGAAAAATGTTCTGATTTCTGTCACTATAGGAGGTCCCTTTTTCTTGTTTAGAACTTCATATACATGGAATAAAATATTATAGATCATTTTTGTAAGGGGCAACTTTTACTATTTGTGAGGTTCATTCATGTAATAGCATTTATCAAGGTTTTGTCATCATATGTATAAATATGTATGTACTCATACACATATAGATATTTCATATCTAAATCAATTACATTAATAAATGACAGATTATTAAATAAATAAATCTGTTTATTAAGTAAATAAGTGACAATATGTATATCTATTTTCCTGTTGATGGGATTTAAATTTGTTTCCAAAATAAACATCATAAACAAAACTATTATAAGTATCTTTGTACAAGTTCTTCTGTTTATATTCACACATTTTATTGATAAAATATGTAGATATATAGGTATGCATTATAACTTTTCAGCTTTATGGAGCTATCACTGACAAATAAAATTGTATATATTTAGGGTACACCACTTGATGTATTGATGTACCTGGGGAGATGCTCATCATGATCAAGGTAATCGGCATGCCTGTCCTCTCAGAGAGTTATCATTTTATGTCTTTAATTTACTGTGTGTGTGTGATAAAAACACCTAATATCTACTCTTCTGGCAAAAGATACCTTTATAATACAATATTCATTAGTATAGTCACATTGCTTTACGTTTCATCTCCAGAACTATTTCAACCTGTGTTTTAGTCCATTCTCACCCTAATGTAAGGAACTACCTGAGACTGGGAAATTTACGAAGAAAAGTGGTTTAGTTGACTCGCGGTTCTGCAGGCTTAACAGGAAGCATTATTGGGAGGCATCAGGAAACTTACAGACATCATGGAAAGTGAAGGGGAAGCAAGGACCTTCTTCACATGCTGGCAGGGGAGAGAGAGAGAAAGAGCAAGGCGAGATGAGCCACACTTTTAAACCATGAGACCTTGTGAGATCTTGCAAGAATCACAAAGGGGAAGGTCGCCCCCATTATTCAATCTCTCCCCATCAGACCCCTCCTACAACACTTGGGGATTAAAATTTAACATGAGATTTGGGTGAAAATGCAGAGACAAACCATATCATTCCACCCCTGGTCCATGACAGATCTCATGTCCTTCTCACATTGCAAAATATATTTATCCCTTCTCAACGGTCTCCCAATCTTAACTCATTTCAGCATAATCATAAAAATCTATAGTCTAAAGTCTCCTCTGACAAGGTCAGTTTCTTCCCCCTATAAATCTGTAAAATTAAAAACAAGTTAGTTATTTCCAAGATACAACTGGGGTGCATGTACTAGGTAAATGCTCCCAATCCAAATAGGAGAAATTGGCCACAGAAAATGGATTACAGGTCCCATGCAAGTCCAAACACCAGCAGGGCAGTCATTAAATGTTAAAGCTCCAAAGTAATTTTTCTTTTACCCCATGTCTCACATGCAGGACACACTGATACAAGAGATGGTCTCCCAAGGCCTTGGGAAGCTCCACCCTTGTGGCTCTGTAGGGTCCAGCGCCCATGGCTGCTTTCATAAGCTGGCATTGAGTTCCTGTGGCTTTTCTAGGCACACCGTGCAAGCTGTTGGTGGTTCTACCATTCTGGGGTCTAGAGGATGGTGGCCCTCTTCTCACAGATCCACTAGACAGTGCCTCAATGGGGACTCTGTGTGGGGGATCCAACATCACATTTTCCTTCTACACTGGCCTAGTAGAGGTACTCCATTAGGGCTCAGCCCCTTCATCAGACTTCTGCCTGAATATCCAGGCATTTTCATATATCATCTGAAATCTAGGAGGAGGTTCCCAAACCTCAGTTCTTGCCTTATGTGCACCAACAGACTCAACACCATGTGGAAGCAACCAAAGCTTAGGGCTTGCACCCTCTGAAGCAATGGTCTGAGCTGGAACTTGGTCCCTTCTAGCTATGGCTGGCACGAGACAGACAGGGGTGTAAGGTGCCATGTCTCAAGGCTGTACAGAGCAGTGAGGTACTGGGCCTGGACCATGAAATCATCTTTCTCTCCTGGGCTTCTGGGCCTGTGATGGGAGGGGCTGCCACAAAGATCTCTGAAATGCCCTGGGAACATTTTCCCCATTGGGCTCCTCATTACTTATTCAAATTTCTGCAGCCAGCTTGAATTTCTCCCCAGGACATGGGTTCTTCTTGTCTACCAGATGGTCAGGCTGCAATTTTTTTCCAACCTTTTATGCTCTGCTTCCCTTTTAAATATGAGTTTCAATTTCAGACCATCTTTTCATGAATGCATAGGACTTATGTTTTCAGAAACAGCCAGGGAAAATCTTGAATGCTTTGCTGGTTAGAAATTTATTCTGCCAGATACCCTAAATCATCTCTCCCTAGTTCAACATAGCACAGATCTCTAGGGCAGGGGCAAAATGCCGCTAGTCTTTTTGCTAAAGCATAGCAAGTGTGAGCTTCACTCCAATTCACAAGAAGTTCTTCATCTTCATCTGAGACCACCTCAGCCTGGACTTTATTGTCCATATCACTATCAGCACTTTGGTCAAAACCAGTCAGTAAGCCTCTAGGAAATTTCACTTTTCCACGACTTCCTGTCTTCTTGTGAGCCTTCTAGGCTTTCCCAACATCTGTCCATTACAAAGTCACTTCCCCATTTTCAGGTATCGTAATAGCAGTACCGCACTCCTGGTGCAAATTTTCTGTATTAATCCATTTTCCCACTGCTATAAAGAATTACTTGAGACTGGGTAATTTATGAAGAAAAGAGGGTTAGTTGGCTTACAGTTCTGCAGGCTAAACAGGAAGTGTTACTGGGAGGCATCAGGACACACAATGATGGCAGAAGGTGAAGGGGAAGCAAGAACATTCTTCACATGGTGGCAGGAGAAAAACAGCAAGTGAGCGGGGAGGTGCCACACTTTTAAACCATCAGATCTCTTGAGAATTTTATCATGAGAACAGCAAAGAGGAAGATCACCTCATGATTCAATCACTTTATATTAGGCCCTTTCTTCAACATGTAGGGATTACAATTTGACATGAGATTTGAGGGGGAACGCAGGGCCAAAACACATCAACCTGCATAACCGAAATTTTTACCCTTTGACCTACATCGCCCAATATTTTCCTCCTCTCAGGGCCTGGGAGCTACTATTCTACTCTGCTTCCAAGAGCTGAAATATTTTACATTCTACATATAAATGAGATCATGCAGCATTTGTCTTTCTGTGTCTGGCTTATTCTAATTAGCATAATGTTCTCTATGATGCTGAAAATGTAAGAATTTCCTTCTTTTAAAGGCTGAATAATATTCAATTTTATGTATGTATATGCCACATTTTATCTGTTCATTCATAAATGGACATTGACTTATTTTCCATATCTAGGCTATTATGAATAACCTCACAATGAGCATATTTGATACACTCACTTCATTTTCTCTAGATGTACACTTAGAAGTGGGTATACCCTATGTTCAATTCATTCAGTAATCTTAATGTTGTTTTTATAATGGCTGTACTAATTTACATTTTGTTCCAAACCATACATGGATACCTTTGTACCAAATTTTCAGGTCTACGTTTAAGTGTTAAATCCATTTCTTGTTGATTTCTGTGTATTTTGTGAGGGAAGGTCCTTTTTTTTTTTTCCTTAGAGTTAGAATCTCGCTCTGTCACCCAGGCTGGAGTGCAATGGCATGATCTCGGGGCACTGCAACCTCTGCCTCCCGGGTTTAAGCGATTCTTCTGCCTCAGGCTCCCGAGTAGCTGGGATTACAGGTGTGCATCAGCACGCCTGGCTAATTTTTGTATTTTTAGTAGAGACAGGGTTTCACCATATTAGCCAGCTGGTCTCAAACTCTTGACCTCGTGATCCACCTGCCTCAGGCTCCCAAAGTGTTGGGATTACAGGTGTGAGCCATCACGCCCAACCAGTCCATTTAATTTCTTCTACATATGGATACCCAGTTTTCACACCACTTGCTGAAGAGACTGTCCTTTGTCTATTGTGTGTTCTTGGCAACTTGTCAAAGATCAGTTTATTGAGAAGAAGTGGGTTGATTATCAGGTGTCTATAATGTTCCATTAGAGTATATGTCTGTTTAAATGTCAGCATTATACTGTTTTGATTTAGATAGATTTGATTTTGAAATTATAGAATATGATATATTCAGCTTTGTTATACTTTCCCCAAAATTACTTTGGCTATTGGAAGGCTTTTGTATTTGTATATAAATTGGAGCATTTTAAAAATATTTTTGTAAAAACATGCCATGGAGATTATTTACTTTATTGACAAATAATAGATATACCTAATTTATGGGAGCATGCAATATATTTATACATTTACAAATATGTGAAGATCAGATCAGGATTGGTATATCTATCACGTTAAACAGGTATATTTTCTTTATGCTAGGCACATTGGAATGACTCTCTTCTAGTTATTTTAACGTGTACATTAGATTATTTTTAACTATAGTCACCTTACTGATCTATCAGACATTTAGGTTTTATTTCTCCTATATAACTATGTATCTGAATTCAGTAATCAACCTCTCTTTATCCCCTTCTCTCTTGTATCCACCCAGGCTTCTGGTAACCAACAATCTACTCTTCGTCTTCAGGAAATCCAATTTTTTAGTTTTGACATAAAAGTAAGAAGATGCCATATTTGTCTTTCTTTGCTTGGCTTATTTAACTTAACATAACGGCTTCCAGTTCCATTCATATTGTTGCAAATGACAAGATATCGTATTTTATGGCTGAATAATATTCTATTGCGTACATAGATTACATTTTCTCTATCCATTTGCCCACCTGCAGACACTGAGGTGCTTTCATATCTGGGCTATTGTGAGTAGAGCTGCAAAGAACATGGAGTGCACATGCCTTTATGAGGCGGTGATTTTATCTTCTTCAGAACATACCCAGAAGAGGATTTGCCACGTCATCAGGTATTTCTATTTTTAATTTATTTTGGAGTCTTCATATTACTTTGTACAATAGTGGAAATGCAATAGGAATAACCATTATAAAAAGCAGTTTCAGTTTTGAGGTATGATCCAAAAACAAATAATGTTTGACCATGATTCTCACTGGGAGTCTCTAATGAGCCTGGTGGAAATGCAGGAAGTTTTCTAACCTTGTTAAGAAAATTATGACTTTGCACATTTTTCTTTTTAAGGCTGGTAATTGGCGTGATTCCAGATGCATACTGTTGGCGGGTTTCAGAATGATACAGAAAATCATTATGAGAAGGCAAGAAAAAGAATGATAGAGAGAGAGAGAGGGAGAGAGAGAGAGAGTCAGGCCAACAATGAGAAAAAATAAATTTCACAAGAGGAGAAAGTGCTGGATATCAGTGTTGGGTTTTGGTCATAGACACATCTGTACTGAGTAAGAAACTATGAAGTCAAGGGAGGAGTCTAGAATTTGTTCAAGTGAAGCATCAGCATATTCTCTGAGGCACATATTGTCACCCCATCATAAGGGTGATGAATTTTTGAATGCCATGAAATGTGAGTTCACAGTAAGTAATCATGTTTCCATGAAATTTAGTTAAAATGCCAAGGGTGTGTTCAGATCACTCATGCACAAATACACAAAATTTGCCTTTGCATTTATAGCTATCTAGAGAAAAAGTGCATTGAGATGTCAGCAGGTTACAGAGATCTGTTTAAGTTTGGGATCCCATGGGAGAGTGCCTCTTAGTGAAGGTTGGTCTATTAATTCAGTAAGTAAAAATTCTCTCTATGGGAGTAGCTTCTAATTGTGTGGAAATTTCAATTCCTTATTGAGTTTTTAAAAAATATCTCAGGGACTGACTCCATGGAGTTTTACTGCTGTATTGATAAAAATTATCATCAAAGACCAAAGGTAGATAAAACCACAAAGATGGGGAGAAACCAGAGCAGAAAAGCTGAAAATTCTAAAAATCAGAGCACCTCTTCTCCTCCAAAGGAACACAGCTCCTCGCCAGCAACAGAACAAAGCTGGACAGAGAATGACTTTGACAAATTGAGAGAAGAAGGCTTCAGACAATTGGCAATAACAAACTACTCTGAGCTAAAGGAGGATGTTCAAACCCATTGCAAAGAAGCTAACAACCTTGAAAAAAGATTAGACAAATAGCTAACTAAAAGAAACAGCATAGAGAAGACCTTAAATAACCTGATGGAGCTTAAAACCATGGCACGAGAAATACATGATACATGAACAAGCTTCAGTAGATGATTAGATCAACTGGAAGAAAGGTTACCAGTGATTGAAGATCAAATGAATGAAATGAAGTGAGAAGAGAAGTTTAGAGAAAAAAGAGTAAAAACAAATGAACAAAGCCTCCAAGAAATATGGGAGTATGTGAAAAGACCAAATCTATGTCTGATTTGTGTACTTGAAAGTGACGGGGAGAATAGAACCAAGTTGGAAAACACTCTTCAGGATATTATCCAGGATAACTTCCCCAACCTAGCAAGGGAGGCCAACATTCAAATTCAAGAAATACAGAGAACACCACAAAGATACTCCTCGAGAAGAGCAACTACAAGACACATAATTGTCAGATTCACCAAAGTTGAAATGAAGGAAAAAATGTTAAGTGCAGGCAGAGAGAAATGTCGGGTTACCCACAAAGGGAAGCCCATCAGACTAAAAGTGGATCTCTCAGCAGAAACTCTACAAACCAGAAGAGAGTGGGGGTCAATATTCAACATTCTTAAAGAAAAGAGTTTTCAAACCAGAATTTCATATCCAGCCAAACTAAGCTTCATAAGTGAAGGAGAAATAAAATCCTTTACAGACAAACAAATGCTGATAGATTTTGTCACCACCAGGCCTGCCTTACAAGAGCTCCTGAAGGAAGCACTAAACATGGAAAGGAACAGCCAGTACCAGCCACTGCAAAAACATGCCAAATTGTAAAGACCATCGATGCTAGGAAGAAACTGCATCAACTAACGAGCAAAATAACCAACTAACATCATAATGACAGGATCAAATTCACAGATAACAATATTAACCTTAAATGTAAATGGGCTAAATGCTCCAATTAAAAGACACAGACTGGCAAATTGGATAAAGAGTCAAGACCCATCAGTGTGCTGTATTCAGGAGACCCATCTGACATGCAGAGACACACATAGGCTCAAAATAAAGGGATGGAGGAAGATCTACCAAGCAAATGGAAAGCAAACAAACAAAAAAAGCAGGGGTTGCAATTCCAGTCTCTGATAAAACAGACTTTAAACCAACAAATATCAGAAGAGACAAAGAAGGCCATTACATAATGGTAAAGGGATCAATTCAACAAGAAGAGCTATTTTAAATACATATGCACCCAATACAGGAGCACCCAGATTCATAAAGCAAGTCCTTAGAGACCTACAAAGAGACTTAGACTCCCACACAATAATAATGGGAGACTTTAACACCGCACTGTCAACATTAGACAGATCAACGAGACAGAAAGTTAAAAAGGATATCCAGGAATTGAACGCAGCTCTGCACCAAGAGGACCTAATAGACATCTACAGAACTCTCCACCCCAAATCAACAGAATATACATTCTTCCAAACACCGCATTGCACTTATTCCAAAATTGACCACATAGTTGGAAGTAAAACACTCCTCAGCAAATGTAAAAGAACACAAATTATAACAAACTGTCTCTCAGACCACAGTGCAATCAAACTAGAACTCAGGATTAAGAAACTCACTCAAAACTGCTCAACTACATGGAAACTGAACAATCTGCTCCTGAATGACTACTGGGTACATAATGAAATGAAGGCAGAAATAAAGATGTTCTTTGAAACCAATGAGAACAAAGACACAACATACCAGAATGTCTGGGACATATTTAAAGCAATGTTTAAAGGGAAATGTATAGCACTAAATGCCCACAAGAGAAAGCAGGAAATATCTAAAATTGAAACTAACATCACAATTAAAAGAGCTAGAGAAGCAAGTGCAAACACATTCAAAAGCTAGCAGAACACAAGGAATTACTAAGATCAGAGCAGAACTGAAGGAGATAGAGACACAAAAAACCCTTCAAAAAAATCAATGAATCCAGGAGCTGGTCTTTGGAAAAGATCAACAAAATTGATAGACCACTAGCAAGACTAATAAAGAAGAAAGAGAGAAGAATCAAATAGATGCAATAAAAAATGATAAAGGGGATATCACCACCGATCCCACAGAAATACAAACTACCATCACAGAATACTATAAACACCTCTACGCAAATAAACTAGAAAATTTAGATGAAATGGATAAATTCCTGGACACATACACCCTCCTAAGACCAAATCAGGAAGAAGTTGAATCCCTGAATAGACCAATAACAGGCTCTGAAATTGAGACAATAATTAATAGCCTACCAAACAAAAAAAGTCCAGGACCAGACGGATTCACAGCCAAACTCTACCAAAGGTACAAAGAGGAGCTGGTACCATTCCTTTTGAAAGCATTCCAATCAACAGAAAAAGAGGGAATCCTCCCTAACTCATTTCATGAGGCCAGCCTCATCCTGATACCAAAGCCTGGCAGAGACACAACAACAAAAAAAGAGAATTTTAGACCAATATCCCTGATGAACATCGATGCAACAATCCTCAATAAAATACTGGCAAACCAAATCCAGCAGCACATCAAAAAGCTTATCCACCACAATCAAGTTTGTTTCATCCCTAGGATGCAAGGCTGATTCAACATATGCAAATCAATAATCGTAATCCATCATATAAACAGAACCAAAGATCACAATCACATGATTATCTCAATAGATGCAGAAAAGGCCTTCGACAAAATTCAACAGCCCTTCATGCTAAACACTCTCAATAAACTGGGTATTGATGGGACTTATCTCAAAATAATTAGAGCTTTTTATGACAAACCCACAGCCAATATCATACTGAATGGGCAAAAACCGGAAGCATTCCCTTTGAAAACTGTCACAAGACAGGGATGCCCTCTCTCACCACTCCTATTCAACATAGTGTTGGAAGTATGGCCAGGGAAATCAGGCAGGAGAAAGAAATAAAGGGTATTCAATTAGGAAAAGAGGAAGTCAAACTGTCCGTGTTTGCAGATGACAAGGTTGTATATTTAGAAAACCCCATAGTGTCAGCCCAAAATCTCCTTAAGCTGATAAGCAAGTTTAGCGAAGTCTCAGGATACAAAATCAGTATGCAAAAATCACAGACATTCCTATACACCAATAACAGACAGAGAGTCAAATCATGAGTGAACTCCCATTCACAATTGCTTCAAAGGGGATAAAATACCTAGGAATCCAACTTACAAGGGACGTGAAGGACCTCTTCAAGGAGAACTACAAACCACTGCTCAATGAAATAAAAGAGGATACAAACAAATGGAAGAACATTCCATGCTCATGGATAGGAAAAATCAATATCATGAAAATGGCCATACTGCCCAAGGTAATTTATAGATTCAATGCCATCCCCATCAAGCTACCAATGACTTTTCTTCACAGAATTGTAAAAAACTACTTTAAAGTTCATATGGAACCAAAAAAGAGACCACATTGCCAAGACAATGCTAAGCCAAAAGAACAAAGCTGGAGGCATCACGCTACCTCACTTCAAACTATACTACAAGGCTACAGTAATCAAAACAGCATGGTACTGGTACCACTACAGAGATATAGATCAATGGAGCAGAACAGAGCCCTCAGAAATAATACCACACATCTACAACCATCTGATCTTTGACAAACCTGACAAAACAAGAAATGGGGAAAGGATTCCCTATTTAATAAATGGTACTGGGAAAACTGGCTAGCCATATGTAGAAAGCTTAAACTGGATCCCTTCCTTACACCTTATACAAAAATTAATTCAAGATGGATTAAAGACTTAAATGTTAGATCTAAAACCATAAAAACCCTAGAAGAAAACCTAGGCAATACCATTCAGGACATAGGCTTGGGCAAGGACTTCATGACTAAAACACCAAAAGCAATGGCAACAAAAGCCAAAATGGAGAAATGGGATCTAATTAAACTAAAGAGCTTCTGCACAGCAAAAGAAACTACCATCAGAGTGAACAGGCAGCCTACAGAATGGGAGAAAATTTTTACAATCTACCCATCTGACAAAGGGTTAATATCCAGAATCTACAAAAAACTTAAACAAATTTACAAGAAAAAATCAAACAACCCCATCAAAAAGTGGGTGAAAGATATGAACAGACACTTCTCAAAAGAAGACATTTATGCAGCCAACAGACACATGTAAAAATGCTCATCATCACTGACCATCAGAGAAATGCAAATCAAAACCACAATGAGATGCCATCTCACACCAGTTAGAATGGTGATCATTAAAAAGTCAGGAAACAACAGGTGCTGGAGAGGATGTGGAGAAATAGGAACACTTTTACACTGTTGGTGGGACTGTAAACTAGTTCAACCATTGTGGAAGACAGTATGGCGATTCCTCAAGGATCTAGAACAAGAAATAACATTTGACCCAGCCATCTCACTATTGGGTATATACCCATAGGATTATAAATCATGCTGCTGTAAAGACACATGCACACATATGTTTATTGTAGCACTATTCACAATAGCAAAGACTTGGAACCAACCCAAATGTCCATCAATGATAGACTGGATTTAGAAAATGTGGCACATATACACCATGGAATACTATGCAGCCATAAAAAATGATGAGTTCATGTCCTTTGTAGGGACATGGATGAAGCTGGAAACCATCATTCTGAGCAAACTATCACAAGGACAGAAAACCAAACACTGCATGTTCTCACTCATAAGTGGGAATTGAACAATGAAAACACTTGGACACAGGATGGGGAACATCACACACTGGGTCCTGTCATGGGGTGGGGGTAGTGGGGAGGGATACCATTAGGATATATGCCTAATGTAAATGAGGAGTTAATGGGTGCAGCACACCAACATGGCACATGTATACATATGTAAAAATCCTGCACGTTGTGCACATGTACCCTAGAACTTAAAAGTATAATAAAAAGATTAATATGATTCCTTCCAGTGTTTCAAGAAAACTTTTTCTCCAAAATTTTTTCCAGCGTATAAATTTTTCTGGCTGAATATTATAAGAGGCTGTTGCTAAAAAGACATACTAGAATGGCAGCTTTAATCTGTTCATGATAGGAGTGAGCATAATACATGATCTCTTTGAGTGTTCTGCCTCATCCAAATGCAGTGTGGCAAAGGCTAGTATTGGAGGTAAAACCTCTAAATGAATTTTTTCCAGCTACCAAGTCATAGGACAATAGCAGATACGTCCTTGAGGTAGAGGACCATAATGCCACAGTGTTAGTAGCAGTACATTTGTCCAAGGGAGTTCCAGGGTTTATTAAAATTATGATAATTTTAATGTAAGAATACCATTCTTTTAAACTTATGTGGAAGATTGTAGGAGGTTTTCACAATGTTGTCCTTTACTATCAGCCATGCCTCACATAATCACTTTATAATACTTTCATGGGTGTTCTTCACTCAGTTCATGCAAACCCTGGCAGTTTACAGGCTAAAAACACAAAATACAGAAGCTTTTAATCAACTGAAAGAGCTGTAGCCTTTTCTCAAGGAATTATTTCAAGACACGGAGAACACAGATGGATGATAAATAAAATACATTCACATCCCCTTAAGGGTAGAAATTGAGGAAAATTTACCCAAAGGTGTCCAAAGGGCCCTGTGACTTGGTTTCTGTCTAAGTCCCAGTGTTAGGGTTCTTCCAGGATTTTGTGGCTAGCTCGTCACTCCTCATCAAGAATTAACCTCTGCTGTTTCCTCAAAGTGTTTATTTAATCTGATAACCAGTTTGTCTATAAATTATAGAGTTGAAATGCAACAAATTTCATTTGAAATAATCTGGCACAAATTATCTAAGCAAAGTCGATAATGATGTTTTTTCATTCATTTGTATTTAAGATCATCAGCTAAGCGTTGATATTTTTGATAACACCCATGTCTCTCTCAGCAGTTTTGTCTTCTGAGGATATGATCTGGCGTGGCAGTTCTCTTAGCTTCAGTGTTACCTCTTTTTGCCTTGACTTCCACCTTTATATTTGCCCGGAATCTGGGATATAGGAGTGCCTCTAAGAGTCCCCTAACTTGCCCATTTTGGTGAGTGTTCTGGAACCTATGAGATGCTCTTTTGTTTACAAAGCACCCCAAAGCCATGTACTGTGCCAAAAGGTGTTTATTTCCTAGTTTGACAAATTAGAAAGTTCTAATAAATACAATCACTTCTGCCATCTGGGCTGATTTTATATCAGATAGAGGACTGTGTTCTAAAGGAAATCTTACATTAGTAAGAGCAATTTTAGTCATTAACCTAGAGTTGTACTATTGAGGTGCAAGTCATAAGAAATAATATTAGGTCGAGGTTCTCAGTGGGAGTGTCTAAATGTCTTGTGTGTACAGGGTCTCCTCTATTAACATGAAGCATTTTTGAGCACAGTCAGTTTCCAGCTATGCTTCTCCCTGTCTCACTATCACCACAAACTAACTATGACCCCACCTGGAACCTAGGTTAATTTCCAAATAAGTCATTCTTTAATCTTTGTGCCTCTAGATTATTATGTGAGTCAATTTCAGTAGAAACTTAAAAAGAACATTTGAACGGACTAAACAACACAGAAAATCACTAATAAAATGCAAAGCCTAGATGTGAGAGGCTCCAGGCCTGGATAATGGAACACTTCATGTATGCAGGTAATTTCTTTTCCCAATTCAACACTGATACACCCAGCATATCAGCTTCATGCCCCATTTTACTCCTATTATGTAGAGATATGGCAATGACATTCTCAAGGTCCACACACATATATGAAAATTGGTAGGACTAGGGGAGGAGATGAGTCTGCACTTCTCCTCTGAAGGACCAGGAAAGCCTGGACAGACCATCTCCCCGGCCTCCATGACTGCACCTCCTGCCCACATGGACACTCACCCCTGATAGGATAAGAGGATTCCATTGATGAGGCTGAGTATTTTATGATATAAGTTACTAGAGAGTGACATTGAGGTTTCAAAAACTAATATTTATAACCTAAATTTAATTTCCCCCAAATTGTTACCTCTTTCTTCAGTGAAAAATTGCTTGCCGTGATTGAGATTTAGGTAGATTCCAAATGTTCACAACTAAGCTTCCAAGAGCGTATTGGGAGCAAAAACTGAATGAGGGTAGAGAAACCCATCATCATGTATTCAACACTAAATTCAAGTGGACTCAGCACTGCCTTTGATCACTGCTGCTTCTCTGCAGAGTTCAGGTTTCTACTTCTCACGATTCCAACATAGACTCTCTCTCTCCCAAATGTTTGGCCTCCACTTGCTGTAAGGTCGCACTCTGTTCTTAGTTTGTTCTCTGAACCATTTTATGAGGGTGGTGATGAGCCATTTAATGGAAATTTTATATCATTTCAGCTGAATCCCATGGGGGATCATGAATTATTCTTCTGGTTATAGTAATGGATTTTTCTTGGTGTGTTCATTACCAGTAATATTCAAAGTCATTTCATTTAAATCTTTGATGCTTCATTTTTTGTTGCTATGACATTCTTTCTTCTATTGAATCTTCCCACTAGCATTATAACATGATCTAGTATCCAGGCTCAGTTGTCATCAATAATAACCACGTATGTCAAAACCTATGTCTTCTTTCCACAGGAGACATATTTTTCTCTTTTCAGGGGATGAACACACACTGCTGAGTGACCCCCACTCACAAGTACATATACACAATTATGAGATTTTTATTTATTTGACTAATAAGATGTATCATTCTCCCTTAAAATTCTTCAACCCCCAGAAGCCCGTGACAAACTCTTCTGCATCTGTTCATACCATAAACTCAGAAAACAAACCACATGGTGAGTAAAAGCTCACACGGTTCTGGATATGGGGTCCATCTCTTCCCCTGCAATGTCCTGCAGCACCTCAGACCACCTGTCCTGGTTCTATCAAGGAAGTTTACCTCCAGCACAGTAAAGAAAACAATTGAAGGAGGAGAGAACCTGCAGATGATAGACAATATTCAAAACTATTCATATGACAAGGGATTACTATCAAGCACATAAACTCAACTGAACTGCAAATAACAATATGATTAATAATGGGCGAATAACATGGATAAACGTCTCTCAGAGGAAGACATGCAAAGGATAGATAGATAGATCGATAGGGATATATACATACATATATTGCTAGAAATAACTAATATCAGGAAAATGCAAATTCACAATGAGCTATCTTTCCTTAATCTTTGCTGGAAAGTCTGTTAGCAGAAAGACAACATAAGGAAAACAAAAGCTGGCCAGGCTTCATGGAAATGAACACTTTTATAGACCACTTGTGGAAATGTAAATTAGTACAGCCATCATGGGAAAAAAAAGACAACTACCATATAAATCAGCAATGCAACTGCTGAGTGTGTGTGTGTATATATATATATATATATATATATATATATATATATATATATATAAAATTAAAAGAAAAAACTAATATTGAAGAGATACCTGTCGACCCATATTTATTGCAGCCCTAAACACAATTACGATATGAAATTAATGTATGTGTCCATCAAAACGTGAATGGGTAAATAAAACGGGGTATATTTACACAATGGAATATTATTCAGCCTTAAAAATGAAATTCCGCTGTTTGAAACAACATGGATGTAACTGGGAACCGTTGTGTTGAGTGAAACAAGCCAGACACAGAAAAAAAAATACCTCATTTTCTCAATGTTATGTAGAAGTTTAAGAAAGTTCATCTTCTAGAAGGAAATAGTAGAGTAGTGGTTATGAAATATCAGAAATGGGTGGAGACCGAGAGATAAGAAGTGGTTTGTTAACAAATGCACAATTACAGGTAGACAGGTGGGATACGCTCTAGTGCCCTACAGTGCAGAAGGGTGACTACAGTTAACAATATATTGTACACTTTATGTTTACAAGTAGCCAGAAGAGAGAATTTTGTATGCTACCAAGCAAAGAAATGTTAATGTCTGAGCTGATGAATTAGCTCGTTGTTCTGATTTGGTCAAACCACATTGCACAGATGTATTGAAATATCACACTGTACCCCATAAATATAAACAATCATTATCTGCCAACTTAAAAAATCCTTTAATTAAAAAAGATTTTATTTGCATACATTACAAATGATTCAACACAGAGCCAGGAAAATATAACATTTTTATTTGAAATAGTTAAATTCCTAACAAAATAGTTACATTCTTTTGCACCAAACTGTGTATTTGATCATGGTAAGTATAGACAGACTTATGCAAAGAATAATATATTTTAAACTTAGACTTCTACTTAATACTATAAATAAAAATAATTTTAGAACAGCTAAGTAAAAGGAATAAAGTTGAGGAAATGTGTGTGTGGTGTGTGATGTGTGAGCTTTTTCTTGTAACCACACTGTCCATGGTGGATGTGTGGTGTGTGTGTCTGTGTCTGTTTGTGTTTCCTCTGCTAGGGGTTCTCTGTGATTCTAGGATCTGTAGTTCAGTGTGTTTCAAAAAATTGGGAACATTCTTAGCCATTACTTTTTCAAATACTTTCTCTTTATCTGCAATTTCTCCTTTTCAGAATTAAAATATACATATACTACACTTTTTGATATTAATGTTTAGTTTCTTCAGTCTCTGTTCCTTTGCAATTTACATTGTGAATTTTCTAGAGACAATTTAAGTGCATGGTTTCATTTAAAAGCTGAGCCAGCTCTACTGAGGGGTATGCCCAAAGTTTGCTCAATGTTTATACTGCATTGCTTTTGGTTTCTTATGCACTTCCATTTGATTCTTTCTTAATATTTATATCTCTCAGTTCCCTATCTAGTCCTGCATTATGTCCACAGTTTCTTGAAGAGATTCTCACATATGAATTACAGTTACTTTACATATCTTGTTTAATCAGATATTTCTAATATCTGTATCATTTACAAATCTCATTCTGAACATTTGTTTATTGTGACTTTAGTATTTCTCATTAATATAGGTAATAATTGTTGTTGATAACCAGACATGTTGGGTCAGACAGTTGATATTATCTTATTATTTCATTTTATCCATTTTCTGCCTGTATTTGACCACACTTTATCTTTGCCAGGCCTTTAATGTGGAAATGTCTGAATCTTCTCAGAGCTACATTTGACATTTACTTTTGCAGTGGACGTCAGAGTTGAAGTCTGTTCTTCTGTGCCCGACAGAGACTTCAGATCCTCCAGTGATACCTTGTTTTTCTTTCCTGCTTGGCTTTGTCTCTTCACCTGTTCCCTCCTCCAGAGAATCTCCTTCAGTTCCTTCAGGGGGGTTAAGATGTTATATTCAACTGACAATTGTAAAATTGTCATAGAATAAAGGGATATTTAGAATAAAGGGATATTTTCTGACCTTTCATGGGTCCATATTGTGATCCTGAGTCTGGGTGTGACCTTTCCATTGTTTCTGAACTCCCTCCAGATGAGATGTTGGTCTGTGTGTTCTTGCTGTTTTCCCTGGGTGAGAGTCCTCTTGTTTTCCCCAGTTGTTCCCTCCCACAGCTCCAATGTTCTCTTTTGGTGTTATCATCTTCCAGATTTGCTGACCTGACCCATAGATTAAGGCTCTGATTCAGTATGAAAGGGGGAGGTACTTCTCAATGGAACTTAAGTAAAGACCTCTTTTTCCATCTCATTTTCTAAGGGATTGTCCCAGTGCCCCTAAGATCCTGGTTTTGGTGGCTTGCCCCTGCAGAGTAATTTCTTAGTTCTGCAATGGGGATAAAGGAGGTGAGTCTGAATGCATTTCAAAGTGTGGGTTCTTTTTCTCTCACAGACAGACACATTGGCACGGAAAGATTTTTGTAACTCTCCACATTATTGGGAAAACTGATTCAAGAGGATAGGAAAGCTCTTCAGTATGTGGTCCCTGAGAAATTCATACAACACCTTTTACCACACTTGACTTCAAGCAACCCAATATATATATGTGTGTTTTTCTCTTGTAGTAGCCTACATTTTACATGCCAGACTCTGCCCAGTTCAGCTCATATCCTGGCCTTGTTACTGCCTACAAGAACTTGCCTCTCCCTGCATTTCAGATTTGATGTTTTTCTTAAAACTTCAAGTATTTAAAGTATTTTTAAAACTTTGCAAAATCCCATTTTCTCTGTTTACCTGATATTGTTGATGTTGTTATTGTAAAAAGTAAGTAGAATATATTCCTCATCTATGTACGTTTCAAAACTGAGTTGCAGCTTTTTTTGGTAAGACCCAGAGTCATAAAAGACTGCAAATACTGTTAAGCTGCTTAACAGAAAAACAAATGCTGGTAAATGTGTTCACTGGAATACTACCCGTCATTTATAATAAATAAATGCCTGACACACAGAACAACATAAAATATCTAAGTATTTATACCGAGTAAAATATGCCAAACAAATAAGAATATATACTATGTCATTTCATTTTTATAAATGCTGATGAATAAAAAATGCATCTGAAGTAAAATAATGAGGATCAGTAGTTGCTGGGGGAAATGGTAGAAGGGAAGGGGAGAGGAGGAGGAATACAGCAGAATAAGAGGAAGTGTTGAGAAGAATTCACTTGTCCACTTTCTTGATAATGACGACAGTTACATCACGTTTATTAATTGTACATTTTAAATATGTGAAGTTTATTATCTTTCAATTAAGCCACATAAAATGTATTACAAGCAAATGGAAATTTAGACAAGCACGGAGTAATAGAAAGATACAAACATATGTTAAATGTCAGAAGTATCTGAAAATTAGTGTGTCTGGACCCTAGTTCTCTCCATATTTTCAGGTGAGTGCTGGTGGCAACATCACACATGCTCTTACTACAGAAAGTGGGTTCTGAAAACCACACCAGGCACGTCCAGCTTTGTCCTGGAGTTGGTTTAGGGGGATGTCACAGCCAGTGACGAGGAGCACAGGGCCAGATACCAGCGTTCACTTATCCCAGACATGAACTCCTGGATGCATACAGAGCCCCCTCCACTTGTGGGTTTACTTCCACTTCTGTAAAAGGAGAAAATATTGACTCCTACAGAACATAATTTACACAAATATTTACAGATGAAATAGGGTGATCAGGGCAAAGTGTTTATCACAGCACAATTTCATAAGACAGCATATTTTCCAAATACCATCGTCAGCAAACATCTGCAGGGCACCGTCTTATTATCTGGGTACAGCCTATTCCTCCAGCGTCCCACCCTAGAGCTTGTTATATAGTAGGAGATATGCAAATAGGGACCTCCCTCTACTGATGAAAACCAACCGAACCCTGACCCTGCAGCTCTGAGAGAGGAGCCTTAGCCCTGGATTCCAAGGCCTATCCACTTGGTGATCAGCACTGAGCACCGAGGATTCACCATGGAACTGGGGCTCCGCTGGGTTTTCCTTGTTGCTATTTTAGAAGGTGAATCATGGAAAAGTAGAGAGATTTAGTGTGTGTGGATATGAGTGAGAGAAACGGTGGATGTGTGTGACAGTTTCTGACCAATGTCTCTCTGTTTGCAGGTGTCCAGTGTGAGGTGCAGCTGGTGGAGTCTGGGGGAGGCCTGGTCAAGCCTGGGGGGTCCCTGAGACTCTCCTGTGCAGCCTCTGGATTCACCTTCAGTAGCTATAGCATGAACTGGGTCCGCCAGGCTCCAGGGAAGGGGCTGGAGTGGGTCTCATCCATTAGTAGTAGTAGTAGTTACATATACTACGCAGACTCAGTGAAGGGCCGATTCACCATCTCCAGAGACAACGCCAAGAACTCACTGTATCTGCAAATGAACAGCCTGAGAGCCGAGGACACGGCTGTGTATTACTGTGCGAGAGACACAGTGAGGGGAAGTCAGTGTGAGCCCAGACACAAACCTCCCTGCAGGGGTCCCCAGGACCACCAGGGGGCGCCCGGGACACTGTGCACGGGGCTGTCTCCAGGGCAGGTGCAGGTGCTGCTGAGGGCTGGCTTCCTGTCATGGCCTGCGGCGGCCTCATTGTCAAATTTCCCCAGGGAACTTCTCCAGATTTACAATTCTGTACTGACATTTCATGTCTCTAAATGTAAAACTTTTTTGTCCTTTTTGTTTCTTTGTTTTTGTAACAGGAGGACACACCCTCACCTCCACAGAAACCACAGTGTCACTTTGGGGGCAGATGATCCTTCTGTGGTCAGCAGGATGAAAGTTCCGAGGAATCTCAGGGGAACCCGAAGAGTGTTTGCCAGTTAGACTCAGGGCAGCGACCTCCACGGGAATCTCTGATTAGAACAGGCTTTGAGTTCTGATAGGAGCCAAGAGAGACGCTCACACAGGGTCAGGGTCCTTAAAGCCTGATGGTTTTCACAGCTATCCCCCCTGGTCTTGTAAAACTGTGTACATATGACTCAGACTGATTCACTTGACCCCCTTTCTGCTAATCCATTTTCCTTCTCTGCATACTTGATTCTCACAATTCCCTTTCTTCTCTTCCCCGAAAACTGAGGATGTGTTTTCTGTAGTCTAAATTCCAGGGCTCAGGTCTGCAGGACCTGGGTAGGCTACGGGGACTTTCTCACTCACCATTGTCTGGACTCTCCTGTTGTCGTCTGTGAACAGAGATGTTTGGAAGATGAAGTGGACATTAGTCATGAAGGGAATAATACTAGTTTTCTCCAATGGGATACTGATGTAGAGCTGATCTTGTGCTTCTCACACTGTCACAGAGTTTGGACTCTCACCCGTGACTTTGAGGAGAGCTGAGGATGGACACTCCATTGTGCTGTGAGCTCTGGGTAACAATAGTAGGGCCTGGCTAGGCAGCCTAAGGTCAATACTGCTGGCCTTCAGGAAAGACAGGCTGGAATTCCTGGGAAGACCTGCATCTGCCGTCCACCATGGAGTCCCATCGTCTTCTATTATGCCCTGATTGAATCAGCCCCACCTAGGTTATCTAGAACACTCTTCGTGACTTACGAAAAAATAATGGGAGGCTCTACTAACACCTGTGTTATGCCATGGGAGCAACACCTAAGCTAGTGTGTGATTGAGTAGATGAGACTGTGGTCTAGTCAAGGTGACACATAAAATTAATTGTTGCCATTATAATATTTTATTATATATTTGGCAATATAGTCGTGCTCATATTATAAATACTTTTGCTACGTTGTTGTTATGTCAGAAGCTTTTGAATAAGAACAGCTTCATCTTGAATAGGGGCTAGGAAAAATAAGACTGAGACCTGCTGGGCTACGTTCCCAGTAAGCTAAGGCGTTCTTAGTCACAGGATGAGATAGGAGGTCTGCACAGGATCCAGGTCATAAAGACCTTGCTGATGAAGGTTACAGTAAAGAAGCTGGCCACAGCCCACCAAAACCAAGACAGTCACGAAAGTGATCTCTATTCATCCTCACTACTCATTATATGCTTATTGTATTGCCTTAACATGCTAAAAGACACTCCCCCTAGTGCATGACCGTTTACACATGTCATGGTAACATCAGGAAGTTTCCCTGCATGGTCTACAAAGGAGGGGAGGAAACCTCAGCTTCAGGAATTGCCCAGGGGACTCATGAATAATCCATCCGTTGTGAGAAATACATTCATCCCTTTGAGAGAAAATGCACAGGGGGTGGAATGAGGCTGGGAAGCTGATGGCACATGGTGGAAGCCTGTCCCTGAGTGAAGGAGAGGGGGAAGCTGGATTGGGTGGAAGGTCCCTATATTTGTGTGCTGTGCAAGGAAGTGCAAAATATAATTGAGTTTTGTGCAAGTCAGTGCTGCCTCTCAGGTGATCCCCATGACTCCCAGAAATGGCTCTGCTTAGGAATCCCTGAGGAGTCAGTCATTTCATTAGAGTAGACCACAGGACATGGGCTTCAGCACACGCCATGCCACAGATGTCAGAAAGCAGCTGCTGGGAACCTGACCCACCTGCATTTTGCTGCCTGTAGGAAAAGGCAGGGAGGTGCATCCTCAGGGACAACACACTGTTTTGGATTTCTATAAAGAACACCTGCTTTTACTGTGTTTTATTGGAAAATACATGAACAAATGTGAGCCTGCAAACAATTGTAATTTTCAGTTATTTTAATTGCATTCATTTGTAATTCTGCATGATATGCTGACACAGAGTTGCATTTTTCATAGATATTGTTCAATGAATCAAGAACATGCATTTTCCACTTTCACTGGTTTTTCTCCGTGTGCAGAGACCTTGAGTAGAGCCTGTCTGGCCCTTATCCACACTATCTCTTGTGTCCCCGGGAAAAAGCAGAGATTTGCCTGACTGCAGAATCTGGGGTAGGAGTCTGCTCAGCTCACAGCCTGCAGAGAAGCCCAGTGAAGTTTTATGGAGTCAGAGAGCTTTCCCATGTGGGGAACCTCTAGCTTACCCATGGCCAGAGATTACTGGTCAGCTGTAATTGAGAGTTTAACAATTAGAGCACTCAGAAGCCTATCTCATCGCAGCTTCATTATGTAACTTACCACCATTAGACTGCGGTAATAACTCAATCTTGATTTTTCTGACCCCATTTTCTCATCTTATTCATTTGTAAATTGGGTTATAGAAAATGTTATGTTTTAGACTCTGATTCAAATCTCAGAAGTTTATGAACTCATCAGGAATAATACAAAATGTGTCTAGTTTTGGGGAAATGTAAATGAATGTCCATGCAGTGTGTGTGTTTGTTGTGTGGGGATATGTCAGTCACACCCCAATGAACATGATTTCTGAATTATATCATCAAACTACAATTAGATTTGCTGAAAATTGCCTGCAGTAATGTCTGTGATGATGAACCTGTCACCTTGTTGTGAGGATGCTCAGTGCACAGGCGAGGTTGCACAGGAGACATCCAAGGAGCAGCCCCCAGGCTTGGCAGAATTCCTGGCCAGGAGCCAGACATAGGACTGGGTGTCTCAAAAGCAGATTCCCCAACCCCATCCCTTTATTTGGACTGCATGGGCATCATGAGGACCAGCAGGAGATGCTCAGAACTCACTCAAGGCAGAGCACCATTTAGGAGCAGGTGCAGCGAGGAAACAGCCAGAGAACCTCTGACTAGAAGCTTGGGTTGTTTTCTTTTGCTTAAGAGCATCCAAGCCTAAGTATATCAACCACTATATGTATATATATAAGTAGACTATCCACTATATATAGAGAGAGATAGATATAATCTGTATATATATACAGATTATATCTATCTATATACATTATATATACAGATTATATATATATAATCTGTATATATAAGAAAGTTATGAGTTACAGATTATATATATACATTTATATATATACATTTATATATATTTATATACATTTATATATATACATTTTATACATATTATATATATACAGAGCAAAACGAGGTAAATATGACTCTGCCATTAACTCCTTGAACCTGGGTCATTTTTTCTGAGAATGCCGTCATCTACAGCATGATGGTTCTCATGTCAAAATCAACACGCATAGTTAGTCACCATGAAGACTGTTTTATCTCATGGTAGAAATGTTTATTTAATTAAAAAATTACATTTCATACGAAAGGGTCTGTATTATTTCTTTCTCACACTGCTGTAAAGACATCACCTGAGACCGGGTAATTCGTAAAGGAAAGAGGTTTAATGGACTCACAGTTCTGCATGGCTGGGGAGCCTCAGGAAACTTACAATTATGGTGGAAGGTGAAGGGGAAGCAAGTCCCTTCTTCACAAGGCAGCAGGATGGAGAGAGAGAGAGAGAGAGAGAGAGAGAGAGAGAGAGAGAGAGAGAGAGAGAGAGAGAAGGAGAAGCAGGATAAAGAGCCGGAAACTTATCAGACAAACCAATCTCCTGAGAACTCTATCAGGAGAACAGCGTGGAGGAAACCACTCCCACAATCTAATCACCTCTCACCAGACCCCTCGCCTGACACTTGGGGTTTACAATTCAGTATTAGCTTTGGGTGAAAACACAGAGCCAAACCATGTCAGAATTTCTAGGTGAGAATTGGTCAATTCATAAGTTATTAGTGAAGTATCAGAAAAATAAATAGCACCAGTGTTGTTGTTATCCAGTTAATTTATAAACCATGTCAATATCCATTTTATGAGAGGTGTAGGAAAAGTGTGAGATGGATAGATAGATAGATAGATAGATAGATAGATAGATCTACCAAATACAATATATATAACTATATTATATATATTACTATGTATATAATATATAGTAAGTGATATATGGTATATATATATGACATTAATTCTACCAAATACTTCACATATGTATGTGCATATATATATAATATTAGGTATGATATATATATGAAATATCAGGACATATATATATATATATTTTATAATGTCTCCTGGGATTTAGTGTTGAATTTTTTAATATCTACATGTATTCCAGGATAAATGTTGGTGGACTTCATAAAATATATTCTAATTTTTATGTGCAAGATGATCACTTTCAAATAAGGTTTAGCTACAGAAACCAGATGTATCTTTCTACCAGAAATTACTGGAAAGCACAGTGAAATTTCTTAATCAGGATTTTAAGATGCTTGACACCACTCAACAAAGACAGTGATTACTAAGAGAGAGAGGAAATAAGCATAAGGAGCCCTCCGGTGAATGCAGGCTCAGATACTTCCTCAAAGGTGTTGCCAGGCTACAGTGCTGGAGTGGAAACCATGTGGATTTAGCATTAATAAAATGGAGCTGGAAACCCACGTAGGCCAAGAAGTGTGGATACCACAGGATAGCAAGTGGATTGCAGAAAACTGTCAGAGAGTGAACCCCATAGATGGCAGGAGGAACACCCAGACTTGACAGAGTGCAGATCAGTGTGTAGAAAGCAGGGAAAGTTGTACGTGAGAACACACCCTGCTGCAGGAAGCTCTCCCTAAAATCCAGAGCCATGGTAAATATATGAATATACACTTACAAACTTTAAAACATACGGAAAGGCACCATAATAAAGTCAAATAAAGGAAAGGTGGGTTGGCTACATTAAAATATAAAAAGAGTATTTCTGAGCAAATAATAATACTTATGAGGGGAACAATTTTATTCTACCATGGCAAATGATTTCAGAGAGCAACATTCGAAATGCTTATGGCCATAATGAGGAAGCTTCAAACAAGTATACGAATAGAATTATTACCAGAGTGGTAGTACCAGAGCCCTCAGCTTTCTGATGAAAACTGATTCTTATTATGAAAGCTAATTATTATTATAAGCTTATTATTATTAACACTAATTATTATTAATTATAATATTATATAATTATTATAATATTATTATGAAAGCTTATTATTATTATGAAACTGATATTACTAGAGCCCTAAGCTAAGTGTTATTACCAGAGTCCTCAGCTTTCCGATGAAACAACAACGTCTGATAAAAATTGTAATAACCCAAACATATAAAATCAATTCAAATTATTCTAAGGATGCACAGTAAATAAAAATCATTGATTGATAAAGTGTGCTGCTATAGACTGAATGTTTATTTCCGCCCTCAGACATTTGTTGGAATTCTAACCCCAATGTGATGGTGTTACGAGGTTGGGCCGTTGGTAAGTGAATGGGTCACCTTTGGAAGATGACTAGGCCCCATCCACCCTCATGAATGGAATCAGTGCCCTTGTTAGAGACTCCAGAAAGCTCCCTCTCCTCTTCCACCAGGTGAAGGAAAAGTAGAAAGATGGTCAACTATGAAGGAGGAAGCAGGTTCTCACCAGATACCAGTTTCAAAGCATGTTGGCCTTGCACTTGCTGACCTTCAGAATTGTGACAAATACATTTATGCTTGATCTGAACCACCCAGACTATTCTCTTACAGCAGCTAAAACATCAAGTCTCAGCTAGGGCAGTGAGGGCCCACAATACTTGAGAGACGAGCATCACCCTCTCCTTTCCAGTTCAGGATGACAGAAGCTTGATCTCGGGCTGAACTGACAAGCAGAGAGTCCTTCCTCTCCCCCAGATCGCAGTTGAGGCCGTGGTGTCAGATCTCTGTGGTTGAGAGTGAATTCCAGTCTGTGATTTCATGGATGCCTTTCTTCATCTAGTTCCACTTATGAGACAGAGATTCCATGCTATGAGTTATAGGCCAAGAATAGAGGAACCCCAATTATTCCCACCCAGCTCACCTGTAGGGCAGAGGATCTGGAGAGCTTTCTGGGTGAGGCACAAAGAGACTGTATGAGTCCACCCCTCCCATGCAGTTTCCTGTACTTAAAGCAGAGGTGTCCCTCTGACACAGATGAACCCTTTCTTCCGCACCAAGGCAGAGGCGGTTATATTTTTACAGTGGCAGACAGAGGGCATAAAAACAGAAATGCAGAGCTCTCTCTAATGGATGTGACTTTATTTGCAGTAAAAGGAGAATAATTTCAACCCTAGGTTTTTTCTAAAATATTATAAATATTTATGGTAAGTTATTAATAGAAAGCTGGTGGCTTCATGAGAGCAACACATTAAACAGGAATCCACTCATTTCAGCAGACAGAAGGAGAAAAACCATAATTTAGGAATAATGAGCTGGGCACTGTGGCACTGCCTGTGGTTCCATACACTTGGGAGTCTGATGTGAGAATAACACTTGAGCCCAGGATTTCAAGGCCAACCTGAAAACGTAGCTAGACCCCATTTAGTAAAATAAATAACATTTTGGGGTCAGGACAAAGTTCAAAAACTGCCCCTGAAATGAAGCCCAAATTTAATTGTGTAACACTGTGGATTAATGGATGACACAACAGTGTCACCATGCCTGCTGTGAGTGCAGTGTAACACTTGGATGACATATGAAGAGATACAGACACCCAAACAGAGACATCAGACAGTGAAGCTGTCAAAGGCTGCACTGCCGAGCGTCAGGCTTTTTATGGAAACCGTGTGTACATCTGGAACTGCACCTGGGAATGACGACATCAACCCTTTAATAGTGTCGGGGAAAGAGACGTCACTGAAATAGACAAACTAAGGGACTCAAGAAATAAATAGAGCGATTGGTTTTACCAATACACCAGAGCGTTTTGGGTGATCACTATTCAGAGTTTCTGAATTGTGTTACCTAACTGTCATTCAGAAAATAATTATGAGATACACAAAGAAAAAAATAACGTCACGAATGTACAGGAAAATTTCCAGAAAACACAAACTGTCTTTGAGTTGGTACAGATTTTGGACTTAACAAATGGAGACTTCAAAACAATTATTATAAAAATGCACAAATCACAAAGGAATACTATCCTAGAAAAGTTAAGGAAGGTATGATGACAGTATCTCACCAAAAAGTTAATATCAATAATGAGAGAGGGTTTTTGAAAGAAAGTTATAGACACGCTAAAATTAAAAACACAGTAATTCAAAACTATATGTCAGAGGTGATAAGCAGTATACTTGAACCTAAAAAGAAAAAAAAGCACACTTAGATATATATTAGTAGATATGCTATATTCAAAGAATAGTGAAAATTGCAATAAAATGAAATAAGCTTAACATAAAAGGTGGACCCTGCTAGACAAATCAACATATGTTTAGTGTGAACATTAGCATGAGAAGAGAGAAAGAAATATGTCACAAAAATATGTCATAATATAATGACAGATAATTCCATGATTTTTATGATAAATACTAATATACACATTGAAGTATGAATAGCTCAACAAACTCAAGGTAAAATAAGTTATAAGAGATCCTCAACAAAACACATTATAATAAAATATTTTACAGAAAAACTACTGAGAAAATCTTGAAGGCAGTGAGAGAAAAACAACTTCTCATATACAAGATAATTCTATCAACAGCTGATTTCTCATCAATAACAGCTAATGCTAAAAGGCAGCAGGATGACATATTTTCCCTTTGTATCCCATTTTATCCTCAAAGGCCACCTGCATACAAAGTAGACCAGTCTTACAAGAAAATCACAGCCCTAGTGTTCTTCTCTCAAGGAGCCCGGCTATGGACCTAATGGTGCCCTCCCCAAAGTCATAAGTATAATTCCCAACCTGCAATGTTACAGTATTTGGAAATGAGACTTTTGAAAGTGATAGAGTTTGAATATTTGTCCTCTCCCAAGGTCATGTTGAAATGTAATCACCAATGCTGGAGGGGGGGCCTGGTGGGAGGTATTGGATAATAGAGGCAGATCCCTCAAGAATGGCCTATGCAATCCATGTGGTGATGAGTGAATTTTCTGTTAGTTCGCATGAAATCTGGTTGTTTAGAAAAGTCTGGAGCCTCCTCCATCTCTTCTCTTGCCCTTTCTTGGCCCCATCTCTTCTCTTGCCCCTTCTCTTGTCATGTAATGCACCTGTGTGCCTGCTGCCTCTTTGCCTTCCACAATGGTTATAAACTTTCTGAGGCCCTCACAAAGCAGATGCTGGCACCACGCTTATTGTAAAGCCTAGCAAATGGAAAGCCAAAATGAAACCTGTTTTATTTATAAATTTTCCAGCCTCAGGTACTCTTTCCTAGCAATGCAAGGACACAGCAACACAGAAAATTGGTATCAAGAAGTGGAGCATTGCTATTAAAAATATGTGAAAATATGGACGCAGCTTTGGAACAGGATAACCGTCAGGGATTTGGAGGGTTTGGAGGGCTCAGAAAAAGTCAGGAAGATAAAGAACAGTTGGGAAAGTTTTAGAGACTGGTTAAATGGTTTGACCAAAATGATGAAATAAATATGGACAGTGAAGTCAAGGCAGAGAATGTCTCAAATGTAAATGAGAAAGTTATAGGGAAGTGAAGTAAAGATCGCCTGTCAAGCAAATCACTTGACTGCATTATGTTCATGTCCTGGGGATCTGTGCAAGTTTGAACTTACGAGTGACGACTTAGGGTATCTGACAGAAAAAAAATTGTCAGTAGCAAAGCATTCAAGATGGAGTCTGCCTGCTTCTAACAGTCTAAAATCAGGTGCAGAAGTGAATAAATGACTTAAAGTTGGAACTTCTATTTAAAAGAGAAGTGGAACATGGAAGTTTAGAAAATGTACAGCCTGGTTCTCTGGTAAAGAAATAATCCAGTTACACTGTGAAGCAACCGCTTGCTAGAAAGATTAGCTTGACTAAAAAGGAGCTGACTGTGGTAATACAAAACAATAGGAAAATAGTCTTGAAGTCAATTCAGAAATCTTTGAGGCCAATTCTCTCATTACAGGCTTAGGTATAGGAGCAGAGAATGTTTTTGGGGGTGAGACCAGCTAGGGCTCAAAGGTACAGCTCGGTTCACCACGTCTGATGGCGCAAGCTGTGATCCTTGGTGGCTTCCATGTGGCATAAAGCCTGGGTCTGCACAGTATGCAAGAGTCAACATGGCTTGGTGACTGGCCTCTAGATTTCAGAGGATGTGTGAGAAAGGCTAGGTGCCAGAAATGAGCCTACCTCAGGGTCAGAGTACACACAGAGTAATTTTTCCAGGGCAATGCTGAGGTGAAATGAAGAGTTAAATCCCCCAAAAGAGATCCCCAGGAGAACACTGTGTAGTGGAGCTGTGGAGAGAAGGTCACTGGCCCTCTAGAACCCAGAATGGGAGATCCAATAGCAGCATGTGCCCCAAGCCTAGAAACGCTGAAGGCACTCAGCTCTAAACTGTGACAGCAGCCGTGTTGGCTGCACTGAGAAAAGTCACATAAGCGGTTTTGCTCTCAGACTTGCGAGCCCATAATTGCACCGGCTGCAAGATGTGGAGTCACTGGTCACTTTGGAGGCTTAAGATCGAGCGCCTGTCCTGCTAGGTTTTAGGCTTGCATAGAGCCTGTTACTCATTCATTTGGCAAGTTCCTCTCTTTTAAAATGGAGATGTTTACCCAATGTCCGCACCAACATTGTACCTTTGAAGTAAATAAGTTCTTTCTAATTTTACAGGCTCACAGATGGAAGAAATGTGGGCATGAATCTCAGACAAGACTTTGGACTTTAATGGTGAAACAAGTTCAGATTTAAGGGGCAGATTTCGAGGGGTGGGTATTGGGAAGAAAATGATCCCATTTTGCAGTTGAGAAAGATATAAGATTTTGGGTGATAAGAGTTATGTGGCTTCCATATATGTCCATTCAAAAATCTCATGTTTGACTGTTATCCCCAATGTTGGTTGGGGTTTTGCGTTACGGGGGCGGATTCCTCCTGAGTGGCTTAGCGCCATCCACTTGGTGACGAGTGAGTTCTCACATAGTTAGATCACTCAGGATCTGATTGTTTAAGGGAGACGTGGATCTCCCCCTTTCCTTCTTTCCCCTGCTCACCATGTGACACTCCTGCTTCCCCTGTGCCTTTTACCAGAAATATAAGGTTTTTGAAGCCCTCACCAGAAGCAGATAGCAGAACCACACTTCCTGTACAGCCTTCAAAACAGTCAGCCAAATTAGAATTTATTTTTTATAAATTTCTCATCCCCAGGAATACTTTTATAGCAGTTAAGGAATTTCTATAAGAAAGAAAGTACTGAATTTAAAGGAGACGATGAGGGTGAAACATCAGAATGAAATTACTGACCTCATGAGTAAAGACACCAGACAGTCTCTCTCTCTCTACTTCTCTCTCTCTATTTCTCTCTCTCTCTCTCTCTCTCACACACACACACACACACACACACACACATGCCCTAAATGAAAAGATCATATGATCAAGTAACAATATGATGGCTGCTCTGAGCCAAAAGTAGAAGCCTCAAACTAAACCTATCTTGTCAGCATCTTGATCTTGGAGTTCACAGCACTGATAAATGGAATAAAATTAATGTTGCACGAGTCACCAAGTATGACAGTTTGTAATGGCAGCTTAAACTGACGAAAGAAAATTTGGGGTTAAGAAGAGGAAATCTGATGTTACAATTATTTGAACATTGTGAAAGTAGCTTGGAATTGGGTTATGTGTAACAGGATGGATACCTTTGACATATATGAAGAAATTTGCATATTGAGGGTCATGCTGATAGACAGAAATGAGTGGTTTTGGAAAATGGAGCAATAGTCATCCTTATCATAAAGTTTTTTAAAAAAAACTTGGCTGGGCAGTGATATAATATTTAGTGAAAGAGAAGTTGTGAGTAGTGAGAAATTGTGAGTAGCTGAGAATAGTTCTAAGTGTTGAAGATATTTTGCTTGATTCCTCCTGAGTGCTTAAAATAAGTGAGGTAGATAAATTAAAATCAGAAAAAAATAAAAGAAAAAGAATACAAAAGCTGAGGGCTTAGAAAATTCACAACCTATCCATATTGCAAAAATCAGAAACTGTATTCTACAAAGAACACTGAGTATATGGCTCAAATATCACTCAGTAAGAAGCTTAAGATACTCTATGAAAAGAAATATTTCAGGTTTTAAAGAATGAGAATTGACCTGAGACAAATTTGATGCATACTGTTAGATTTTTCAGATTTAATGGCCTGGAATAATAGAGCTACTTGGCTGCAAATGTACACAATTCTTCCAGAAGAGAGAAAAATAAGCTTTAAATTTATTTAGAAACCATCAGACCACTGCCTCTATTTCAACAGACCAGAAAGCCTGTTTCTAAAATCTTGAGGAAGAAACCACCCAACAGAGGCTTGGGTTGGGAGCACCCAGCAAGCCCTGTGTGTAGGGCTGCATGAGGCCCTTGACATGGGAGCTGGGCCTAGCAGTGCCTCAGGAGCGGTGCCTCTGCCTGCAGCTTTGGAGCTGATTCTGCTGCTCGAATAAGCTGAGAAGGAAAAAGAATGTTTCAGAGAAGATTACAGTGGAGGCTTAAAGCATATGGCAATTTGTTTTCCTATGCATTGTATTTGCTGGAGACAAACCACCCATTTTACCCCCTATTTTTTTCTTTGGCAATGAAGCTTTCTATTCTATGCCTAATTCAACAGGACACAGCAGCGGCTGTATCCAGTTTGACAAGATTCAGCATGAAAGGTTCCTATTACCTGTGCCGGATGCATCACTGATATGCGGCCACCAGTTTCTTAGGTTCATATCACTTTAAGGGACCAAATACAAATGTCAATAGCATATGTCATTCTTAAACTGCAGAAATGGTGTCAAAGAAGAATGTGGAGATAAGAGAGCAGGAGGAATTATGAAAATCCAGATAGCATCTTCTCTTCTAGAGTGGAAGGTACACTAGTAATTTCATGAAACAATAAAATAGATGAAATGTGTCATCATCATGGAGTGTCTCACAGTGGCAGTGCACAAATAAATTTCTAAAAATTCCATAAGGTAGGTGTGATGGATGAGGCTTATTTCCACACAGGGAGCCCATAAATACCCAGATAAGTAAAAAATCCAACACCTGGAACGAAAAAATGCCTCATCTTGACATCACAAACCCATCTCAGTAAGTCCGAGGAGTAATGTGGAAATGAAACGGAAAATTCACAAACACATTTATTGTGAAATTTTTAGCACATGTTTGAACATTAAAACAGAATTGTCCACAATTTTAGGAAAACCACTCCATGACAATGAGTCACTACACTCATAGAAACACCACTGAGTCAACAGAGTTCTAACTGTCAGCAGGTCAGTACTGAGGCCTCAGGAGAATCAAGGCTCTAGGGTACATTTTACAGAACCCAGAATTGAGCCACACAATCTATAGCCAAATGATCTTTGACAAACTTAACAAAAATTAACAAAAATATATACCAGAAAAAGGACACCCCATTCAATAAATGGTGCTGGGGAAATGGAAATGAACATGCAGAAGAACAAAACTAGACCCCTACCCTCAACACATACATACTCAACACAAAATGAATTAAAGACTTAGATATAAGACCTCAAACTATAAATGTACTCAAATAAAATACCAGGACAACTCTTCTGGGCATTGGCTGAGGTAAAGAATTTATGACTAACACCCCAAAAGCACACCCAAGAGAAAAATAGACAAATGAGACTTAATTAACCTAAAGAGATATTTCGCAGCAACAGAGTGAACAGGCAAGTTGCAAAATGACAGAAAATTTTCGCACACCTTGCCTTTGACAAGGAACTAACATGAAGAAATTACAAGGAATTAAACTATACAACGACAACAACAGGAAGAAGAACCAAATAACCCTATTAAAATGAGCAAAGGACATGAGTAGACATTTCCAAAGAACACATACAAATGGATAATAAATACATAAACAATGCTCAACATCACTAACCATTAGGGAAATGCAAATTAAAACTACAATAAGATATTATCTTACAAAAGCCACAGTGACTATTATTAAAAACTCAAAAGTATCAGATGTTGGTGAGGATGGAAGGTAACAGGAACTCATCTACACTGTAGATGAGGATGTGGACGAGGACAACCTCTATGGAAAATAGTATGGAGTCTGCCCAAAAAACTGGAAATAGAACTGCCATTTGATGCAGCAATCCCACCACTGGGTAACTACTCAAAGGAAAATAAATCATTACTTCAAAAAGATATCCATGCTTCTATGTTTACCACAAAACTATTCTTAATAACACACATGTCAACCTGAGTGTCCACCAACAGATGATTTTATAAAAGAACATAGCACGTATACACAATTCAATACTAGTCAACCACAATAATAAATGAAACTGTCTTTTGCAGCAAGATGCCTAGAACTGGGAACAACATAATTAGTGAACTAACTCACAAACAGAGAGTCACATGTCACACATTATTATTTATAAGTGGAAGGTAACAACGTGTCCACAAGGATATGGAGAGAGAAATGATGGACACCGGAGACTTAGAAGGATGGGAGGTGGAAGGTGGGAGCATGAGGAGACATTACCTAGTGGGTACAATGTACATTATTTGGGTGAGAGTACACTAAAAGCCAAGACCACTGTGGAATATATCCATGTGCAAAAGTTGCACTCATAGCCTTTAAATTTATATAAATAAATGTACAAACAAAAAAATTAAAAATATAAAATAATTAACAGTTGACCAATGATCTTAAAGTTAAAATTTAGACCAGGCGTGGTGGCTCACGCTTGTAATCCCAGCACTTTGGGAGGTCGAAGCAGGTGGATCATGAGGTCGGGAGTTTCAGACCAGCCTGGCCAACATGGTGAAACCCCATCTACTAAAAACACAAAAATTGACCAGATGCGGTGGCAGGCACCTGTAATCCCAGCTACTCGGGAGGCTGAGGCAGGAGAATTGCTTGAACCCAGGAGGCGGAGGTTGCAATGAGCCGAGATCATGCCACTGCACTCTAGCCTGGGCGACAGAGCAAGACTCCATCTCAAATAAAATAAAATAAAATGTAAAAAATGATCAATAAATGAAATTACTATCAGTTGAAACTCATTAAATTTAAAGACATTTTCTACTCAAGTAACTATAAGAACATGAATGTCAAGTTTCAGATGGGAAACTATTTTCAAATCAGATAACCACCAATTTAATTATAATAAGAACTCTCAGGACTCAACTGTGAAAAAAAAAAAAAGAAAGAAAGAAAGAAACAACCCATGGATAAAATAGGCAAAGGTTTGTGCAGACATTTCATCAAATAAGATGTGCAGATGACATAAGCATATAAACAGGCTCTTAACAGGATTTTCCATTAAAGGAATTCAAATCAAGCCCACAATGAGAAACCACTATACACTTTTTAGAATGGCTGAAATTAAGAAGAAATACAGGTAATACCAATGCTGATGAGCATACCAAGTTCCTAGTGTCTACGACATTGTTAATGGGACTGCAAAATGAAACAGCTACTCTGGAAGATAATTTTTAGTTTTTTCTGCAATCAAACATGCCCTTAACACATGACCTAAATATCCCACTCTTGAATTTTGCTTCAGAGAAATATAATCTTATATTCACACAAAACCTCTATTCAAATATTCAAGATATTGCGTGTGTGTGTGTTAGAAACTAAAAATAACATAAATATCTCAAAATCTGAATAGGTGAAAAAACTAGGAAGCAACTATAAATTGAATACCATCAGCAATAAAAAATATCAAATGATCGATTCACAAACCATTACAGGTGAACTCCAGGCATTACGCTAAGTGAGAGAAGCCAGTCTCGAATATCAAAGGGACACAGCTGTAAGCAGCACGGTCATCCTCAGGTGTCAGTGGTTTGGGCTGGGCTTTCTTTGTCTCTTTCCTGACCAGACCCAGATGTTGAGCTCTGCCACTTGCAGATGGAAAATTCTACTATTTTCAACCATGCACTGAGGTTTGAATTACTTCACAGACTGACCAAACAAACATGGGCTCCACTGAAGAGTGTCTGGCATTTGTTTCAACCACAAGAGAACTTTTCCCAGCTCTTCCATGTCCTTGGTTCTCTCCTGCAAGCCAGCAGCCCTGCAGTGTAGCCTGCATCTCCCATGCATCCACCCAGCTCCTTCCAAGGGCCTTCCACCACACCCTCCACTGTTTTTGAGAGCACTGGCAGGCTTTCAATTTTTCCACATTCTGTTGTTACTGAAGTTAGGATGTTTAGGACTTATTAAGATCATATTTTATGACTGAATTTCATTGCCCCCTCTCTCCTGGGACAGAGCTCCTAAACAAGGTTCTGCAGGTGTAGACAAAGTTGAGCTGTTTTATTCCTCAGCCTAGGAGCTGAGCGCTCAGTGGAGGGTCGGGCAGGAGCTTCCCACCTTCTCAGCACTTCGGTTATGGTGGGGCAGAACCTCTGCCATAGGACAGAGCTAGGAACCAGAGACCCAATGTTCCCAGTGGCGCTGGACCCAGGGCAGAGCCTCCATCCATGAGTGGGGCTCTATGGAAGGAGTGAGTCTCTGGCTCTCAGTAGCTCTTGTCCAGCACTGAACCTCAGCATCATGTGCTGTGGGCAGGGTCAGAGGGCCAACGTACTGGCCCCTGGGGAAGAGTTTCCTCTGGTGGGAGTTGGTAGAAGGTGCCCTGTCTTCTTGGCTGCATCTGTCCGCAGTGGAGTTTACATCATGCTGAGCTGGGATGTGGAAGGAAGGAAGAGCACCTTAGATCAAATACGATGACTGGCCTTACTGAGTTTTCTATATTTTCTTAAATAAATATTTCTTCACTTGCTTTATGCTGTTAGATCCTTTCCAAACCCTGTAATTTTTTCAAAATAATTTTCACTGGTCTCATGAGGGCATGGATTCATTGAGCCCCTCATGCTGTTAAAGAGAAATAGAACTGTTTTTTTTTTTCACTTTTTAGCGAACATCCATGGGTTATAAAATAATTAGTTGACATTTCTTCCAACACTTTACAGATACCATCAACTTTCCTCTTGCTTGTGAGGTTTTAACCAGAAGAATGCTATCATCATCTTTTCTGTTCTTTTGGAAGGAATGCCCCCTCTACTCACCTCCACTTGCCTGCATATATTTCTATTTGTCTTTGCTTTTCAGCAGTTTTAATAAGATTTACCTAAATGTGTGTGGGGGAAGCAGGGGGTGTTATTCTGTTGTTCTGTGTTCTCTGAGATGCATGGATTCACCATTTACTCTGCCTCCATTTTGGGGAACACAGTTAGAAAAAATGTCAGTGTGAGCCCAGAAACAAGCCTCCCTGAAGGGGGAACAGGACCACCCGGGGGCGCTCAGGACCCACTGAGCACAAGAGCCAGCCTCAGGGCAGGTGCAGACGGGGGTTAAGGTCTGGTTTCCCGTCAGCCCTGTGGCTTCCTCTCCATAAAACAGTTTCCTCTGGGGCACTTCTCTGGATTCCTTATCCTGTTCTTCCTATTCTTCCTGAAGAAGAAACATTTGTCGTAACAAGAGAAAAATTTTCTCACATGCACCAAAGGCAGAGTCACCTACAGTCACTTATTCCGGTTTCTCAATGTGAATAAATTATCAATGCTTCTGAATTTAATCAGCTAAACCTATTAAAGGTGCGGTGTTTAACTCAACACTGCCGCCAGCTCAACAGAACTCCAAGGGTCAGTGAGCAGCAGGCAGGATAAAGGGCATGCTGGGCACTGGGGCAGAGGGAGTTAGCATCCAGTGCAAGAGAAGAAAGGCCCCGTGGTGGTCACTGTCAGGACTTCAAGCCCATAGTTCCAATTGTAGGTGACCACGTTCAAAAGAAGAGAGACCTCATCCATGATTAGTGTGATGTGTCAAGTCTGATAGTGCCACACTCACACCTCAGGTGATTATGAAAAGATTTACCAACTCTACTATTGTCTGCTGAGAGCAGCACAGGCCTCTCAAGAAATTCCAAACTGGAATTTCCTCAATGGAACAGGAAAGGAGGCTGGCTTAGGGCTTTATAATGATTTGGTGGTGGGGTCGGGGGGTCATTTATACTCAGGAGAAGGAGCTTGTGTGATTTAAACCTCACATTGGCATCAGATGAGGGAGCTTCTACGATTTCTGACTAGATTTCCCATATGTGGGGGACAAGGGAGAAGAAGAATAAACCTTAATTCATCAGCAGCAAGCACCAAAATAGGACCTGACACTTTATTCTCCCTAGCAGCTTAAGAAAATGAGTGAAAAAGAGAGATGAGGGTCCACTGTGTGTGAAAAGCAAACAGAAATAAAGAAAATAAAAATTTTTATTATGGTAAGCACATAATAAAAAGAAAGAGAAGAAGGAATGAGACAGACAGTGGTGCTGAATCAATGTCCTGGGTGGGGCCTTTTCATTATCCACTGTCATCAGTTTATTCTGAAGGTCTCAGGTCAGCTTCCTGCTTCAAACTATCACAGGCCCTTATAGGGTATATAAAAATCCTTATAGGATATCCACAGTTTGTCATACTTTACTAAAGTAGTCTAATAATTAGATGAAGTTCTGAATTTAATATTCAGTTATAATAAATATTAAAAAATACCACAATCTACAAATTAGGAAACCGAGACTATATTTTTATCAAGGGTTACAGCCATCCCATATGCTGGAAAGCATAGTTTTGGTAAAGATGAGAGACAGACACTCCCAAGAAGAAGGAGTTGGGCAGAAGATTTATGCTGAACTGTTTGGCTAAACAGACTTAGTCAACAGGTTACAGAGAGGCTACTGATGTTCATGGAGGTGGTGCTGACACATGCATACTGAACACACATGCATTTAACATGTGAGTCCTGTTCAATTGCCAGTGGTGACTTAGCATTTAAATTCATTACAGTCAGGCCCTATGTGCAAACAGCAGAAGCAGAGACACAAAGGCACTCAGGGTGCAGCCTCTGTAAACAGCCAGAGCCAGGCCATGGTCAGCGGTCTCTGATCAGGAGAAAGGTCCTGATATCAAATGTTCAATCAAAGCTGGGGTTATGGCTTGTGGAACAGGGGGTCAGTTCAGCAGGGATGGGCTGCAATTGTCTTCATAGTGCTTGTCTCAGTGCCAGTGCTTACTGAGCCACCAGAGAAAACGAATAACCTATTGGCAGTTAGAACATAGTTTATCTTTTAAGTGTAGAAGTGAGTGGCAAAATCCTCGTCTAGCAAGGCCTTAGGTCTTGTTTATAATTTGACATCTTACTGCCACTGTTCTGTCAGTCTTATGATTTCTATTTTAACATAAGTGTTGGCCATTGCTGCGTCTAAACCACAAAGGGAAGAAGGTATAACGAGGCGTGTCTGATCTCTTGTTTAGACATGGTTGGAAACAGTTTTTGGATTTTTACGGGGTTCCCTAGGCCAAGAGATGGACTATTTAATCAGTCGTGGGTTTTAGGGATTTATTTTTAGGTTACAGTTTATAAATATGAACCCAACTATTGACTTTCTGCAATTTCACTGCTGTGTTGTGGTTAAAAGTACCTGATAAAATTCCTTCCAAAGTGGTTCAAGAGCAATATTCTACCCTGATGTTTCTTACAATAGATATAATTCCCTGCTTTAATGTTATTAGAGGCTATTGAAAAGATGTAGGGAAATGATGGTTTAATCTGTTGATGAATAGTGTGGGTAAAATGCAGTCATCACTTTCAACACTTTGTCATGCATGCATGTAATAGGACAGAGGTGAGCATTGTGGGTAAATCTCTAAATGTATGGGCCTTCCAGCTACCAAATAATAGGCTAATAACTGATGTCTCCCTGAGGGGATTAACTATAAGGCTCTCTTGCTAGGGAGAGAATCTTTGGCCAAGGAAGTTCAAGATTTTCTTAAGGTTTGGACAATTTTAGTTTAAGGATGACAATTTTCTTCAACATTTTCAGAAGATTGTGGATGGGATGGATGCTATGTTGTATACATAATGCTAATGCCTTCCATATTTAGATAATATTATAAACCCCTGACTGATAAGACTGCTTGCTTGGTGTGATGACCCACTACAATATGTATACTTTCAGTTGGTATGCTATGTCATTTTCCTTCAGGTTTTTACTTTCCAAGTTACATTAGTCAGGTCTCTAAAATGCAGGACTGCATCTAAAATGTGTTATTTTGTTGTGCATTTTCACATGTTCCAGAAGGTGGGAGAAATTTCTTTGTGTGAAGAGCATCCCAAAGTCAGGCACTCCTCTAGAACACGTGTTTAATCCTTGTCTTTGGCTTATTGATGAGCTCTGTTGACTGCAATAACTTCTGCCATCCGGGCTGACTTGACATCACATAGAGGAACAAATTCTGAATGAAAGTTTGCTCTACTCAATTGAGTGCATAACCTCATTTCATTACTGATGTATAATGCATCAGAGATAATATTAGATCAAGGATTTCAATGGGAATCTAATCTAAAAGATGTAAACAAATTTTCATAATTTAGATAAAATTACTGTGAGCACACTGCTGCTATTCAGCCATGTCTCCTATCACACTGAATCCACACTAACTTTGACCTAAAAGTTAGCATTTGTTCTAATGTTCAGAATTGTTATTTTTATCATAACGTCTCTAGATGATTACAGAGTGTGGCTATGTTGGCCATCAGTAAAGGAAAGCTATTTTAACTGAATGAAAATGAGACAAAGCACACAACCTAATGTAATGGAAGTCAGGACATGAGTGTCTCCAGGCTTTTGTGTTTCAAGAGTTCATGCACCAGGGGATTTCTTTTCTTACTTGTACACAGAGCAACACCCAAAATGTTCATTTCCTCTTCCATCGACTCTTATCATCTGTTTCTATGTCAGTTAGCTTTGAATTTTTGACCCCAGCTGCATTCAAGTAGCTGCAAATAAGCGTGATTTCATTCTTTTTTATAGCTGCATAGTATTCCACTGTGTATAAGAACCACGTTTTCTTTATCCAGTCTATAACGGATGGACATTTAGGTTGATTCCATGTCTATGGTACTGTGAATTGCACAGTGATACACACGTGAGTGGATGTGTTTTTTTGTTACAATAATTTGTTTTCTTTTGGGCATATACCCAGTAATGGGATTGCTGAGGGGAATTGTAGGTCTGTTCTAAGTTATTTGAGAAATCTCTAGATCGATTTCCACAGTGCTTTGGCCAAGTTACATTTTCACCAAAAGTATGTAAGTGGCGCTTTTCTCTATAGCCTTGCCTGCATCTGTTAATTTCTGATCTTTTAGTGATAGCAATTCTGACATGTGTTAGATAGTATGTGATTGGGTTTTGATTTGCACTTATCTGATGATTGAGGATGCTGAGTATTTTTGTATGTTAGTTGGCCACTTCTATGTCTGTATTTGAAAAGTTTCTGTGCACGTCCCTTCCCCATTTTTAATGGGGTTATCTGATTTATGCTGCTGATTTAAGTTCCATATAGATTACTGACTTGCACACACGGAGAAAGCCAGTATTCAAAACTAAATAGAAAAACATAATCACTTGTAGGTATAGACATACTGAATTTGGAATGGTCATGGCTTGCATGTTGGTATTGAAATGGGACAGCAACTTTGGAAAATGGTCTTCACTGAAAATCTCATACACAAGTGTACCTGGTGTCACCACTTACAGTAGTTGAATGGAGAATACAACTCAAGTGCCCATCGACTGCCACAGGGATGAAGACGCCGCGGTGTGTCTGTGTGTCTCTAACCCACAGGGATGAAGACGCTGCGGCGTGTCTATGTGTCTATAACCCACAGGGATGAAGACGCCACGGTGTGTCTGTGTGTCTGTAACCCACAGAGATGAAGACGCCGCGGTGTGTCTGTGTGTCTGTAACCCACAGAGATGAAGACGCCGCGGTGTGTCTGTGTGTCTCTAACCCACAGGGATGAAGGCGCCGCGGTGTGTCTGTGTGTCTCTAACCCACAGGGATGAAGATGCCGCGGTGTGTCTGTGTGTCTGTAATGCAGCTTTAAAGAGGAGTGAAGCACTGACATAGGCTGCAACTTGGATGAGCCTTGAAAACATTGGGTGACTGAACTGAGGGAGACACGGAAGTCTACATCCCTAATTGTCCCATTGACACGAAGCACGCAGAGCAGGAAAATCCCAGATCACAGGAGGTCAGGGGAAGGGAAACACAGAGTGACCGCTTAATGGAGGTGAGGTTTCCTTTTCTGTGATGAAAATGTTCCCAAACCAAATAGTGGAAATGGTTGCACAGCATTGTGAATGTGTAAAGTATCACTGACCCATACACTTACCAAGGGCTGAAATGGTAAGTTTTATGTTATGTGTATCTCAACACAATAAAAATGAGTGCCACATTTTGTTTAGCATATCAATGACAATAACAGTTCAGGTAAATGCTGGATTCCTCATCACAACCAGTGCTTCCTGATGGAGCTGGATTCAGGGGAGGGACTGGAGTGGGTTGGGTGCACAGGTCATGAAGGCAGCAAAAATTCCAACCCACTCCTCAAGAGTCCAGTCACCACCTCCAGATCTATGTCCAAAAAACAGCTCTTCCTATGGCTGAGCTACATGAGCAACAAGCAAATAACCATGTTTTTTGTTGTTGTTGTTTAGTTTTGTTTTGCTTTGTTTTTAGACAGAGTCTCGCTGTGTCACCCAGGCTGGAGTGCAGTGGTGCGATCTCAGCTCACTGCAATCTCTGCCTCCTGAGTTCAAGTGATTCTCCTGCCTCAGCCTCCCTAGTAGCTGAGACTACAGGCACTCACTACCACGCCCAGCTAATATTTGTATTTTTAGTAGAGACAGGGTTTCACTATGTTGGCCAGGCTGTTCTTGAACTCTTGACTTCGTGATCCACCCGCCTCAGCCTCCCAAAGTGCCGGGATTACAGGCGTGAGCCACCGCGCTCAGCCACAACCATGTATTTTTAAGCAAAAGACACAGTGAGGGGACATCAGTGTGAGCCCAGACACAAACCTCCCTATGCGGGTTCACAGGACAGCATGGGGTGCTGAGGACAGAGGTGGGCACTCAGGAACCAGCAGGGAAACCCAGGGGGCGCTTGGCACTTCATGGGGGCTCAGGACCATTGTGGGCTCAGTGGTCAGGCAGGCTCAAGGCTCAGCCTCAGGGCAGGTGCAGCAGGCGGGGAAAGGCCCTGGAGACTGGGTTTAGTGTCACCTTCTCATTGCGCCACTGGACACCCTCCACTACATCTATTCTAATGTGTATGAGTACTTATGAGTTTAGAAAATAACATTGATATTATAAATCTATAGCCATATGTGGGTGCATCAAGTTACCCTCTTCAACCTATGTGGACCCTGTTCATCAGGAATAAGTCCCTGCATTTGAGGACCTTATAAATCAATAATTATGTAGAATCACTTTCTTTTTCAGTCTCATTTCCTCCCTCTTTCTCTCTCTCACACACACTGACAAACACGCTGGTTGCTATAACTTTAATTACCTGATGTGTTAAAAAAAATTGATTCATTTGGAACTTAACCAGTTTAGCTGTTGTTCACGCTGTTATGTAAAAAAGATCCCTAAATGACTTCTACCTGGTAAGAGGAGGGAAGGCGTTGGAAGGTGAAATTGCAGGAGAAAAAGAAAATCGTGAAACGGATTGATTTGTTTTCTCTATGAATGGTGATTAGGTCAATATTTTTCAAACGGTGAACATATTGTGTGAAGATTATTTGTCAATATTATCTCATTAAAACTATTACAAATAAAAGTGTATAATTTGGTAAAAAAAATGAAGAGAGAAATAAAAATAATACAAGAAAAGTCATGAACTCCTGACTCCACACGTGAGTTAACCCTCAGTTTTTCTATGTTACTTAGAAAAACACTAAGATACAGCCAAAGAATATCATGATATCTTTATAAGAAGAGGGTTTTGTAACCCTCACTCGAAATTTCTAGCTCTGTCCTAGAGTTAATTTAGGGAGCAGTCAGATCCAGCTGTGAGAAACACGGGCCAGACAGTGAGACTGGCTTTTACCAGATGTGAGCTCTTAGACATGTCACATGGCCCTTCCGTGCTTGGGGGTTTACCTTCACATCTGTAAATGAAGGAAACTTTGACTCCCACAGAACATAATTCATGTGCATCTATAAGTAGAAATGCTAATGAGAATTAATTATTTATGAAGTATAATCACTCGCATCCACTCTGGGACACAGCCTACTCTGAGGCATCCCTTCCAGAAGTCACTATATAGTAGGAGACATGCAAATGGGGTCCTCCCTCTGCCGATGAAAACCAGCCCAGCCCTGACCCTGCAGCTCTGGGAGAGGAGCCCCAGCCCTGAGATTCCCACGTGTTTCCATTCAGTGATCAGCACTGAACACAGAGGACTCGCCATGGAGTTTGGGCTGAGCTGGGTTTTCCTTGTTGCTATTTTAAAAGGTGATTCATGGATCAATAGAGATGTTGAGTGTGAGTGAACACGAGTGAGAGAAACAGTGGATTTGTGTGGCAGTTTCTGACCAGGGTGTCTCTGTGTTTGCAGGTGTCCAGTGTGAGGTGCAGCTGGTGGAGTCTGGGGGAGGTGTGGTACGGCCTGGGGGGTCCCTGAGACTCTCCTTTGCAGCCTCTGGATTCACCTTTGATGATTATGGCATGAGCTGGGTCCGCCAAGCTCCAGGGAAGGGGCTGGAGTGGGTCTCTGGTATTAATTGGAATGGTGGTAGCACAGGTTATGCAGACTCTGTGAAGGGCCGATTCACCATCTCCAGAGACAACGCCAAGAACTCCCTGTATCTGCAAATGAACAGTCTGAGAGCCGAGGACACGGCCTTGTATCACTGTGCGAGAGACACAGTGAGGGGAAGCCAGTGAGAGCCCAGACACAAACGTCCCTGCAGGAAGACAGGAGGGGCCTGGGCTGCAGAGGGCGCTCAGGACACATTAAGAACACAGTAAACTCAGGGACCAGGTGCCCAGGGAGGTTAAGGGCTGGTTTCCTTTCAGAGACTTAGCTGTTTCTCCATCTAACAGTTTCCCCAGAACCCTGCCTAGATTTGTGATCTGTATCTGCTCAAACTATCTGTGTCACCTTCCTCACCTGTGACTTTGAGGAAGCTTAGTGTGGACATTCCAGTGGGTGGAGAGATCTTGGTGACAGCAATTGTGTGTTCTGTCTAGGCATGTCTATGGCTGGCCATCAGGAACGACAGGCTGGAATTCTTGGAAAGAGGCACACCTGCCATCCATCAGGAAATTTTGTTGTCTTCTGTTCTGCTAGAATTAAATCAGGCACGCCCAGGTTAACTACTACTATCTTCCTAGCTTGAGAAAATTAATGGTGGGCTTGAATAACACCTATATGAAATCATCAGAGCAACACCTAGATTCGAGTCTCATTTAATAATTGAGACTATGTTCTAGCCAAGGAGACACATAAAACTGGTGATTGCCGTGGTCAGTTCATATCATATATTTGTCAGTAGAATCTGGCTGGTATTATGAACAGCTTTGCCAACACATGTGTTAGTGTTGGTCTTCGGAGAAGCACATTCTATGAATGGATTAGGTTTATGTACAGTTTCCTAAGGAACCGGTCCACGCTTTTGAGAGGAAACGCAGAGCGGGTGGAAGGAGGCTGGGGAAGCTGAAGGCATATGAGGGAAGTTGGTCCCTGAGTGAAGGAGAGAGGGAGGATAACTCAGTGGAACTTCCTTAAACTGTGCTGTTCTAGGAAGGTCCAGCAAGTCACTGTATCTGAGTCATGTCAAAGTTTCCCATCGGGGACCCCCGTGACTCCCAGCAGTGGCTCTACTCAGATCAGCGCGGAGCTCATTGTTCTCCTGAGAGTGGAGCACAGGACGTGGCCCCAGCACCAGCCGTGGCATGCACATCAGAGTGCAGCCCCAGGCGCATGGCTCAGGTGCACTGTGCTCCCTGCAGGTGGAGGGAGGGAAGACCTGACTCAGAACCCATATGATGTGGGTTCCATACAGAACACAACTTTTACTTAATTTCTGTGGATGACATAGAAATAAACATACAGTCTGTAAACAATGGTGATTCCTACATTTACCTTGAGAGCTTTATTCTTTGATTCTGCAGAATGTCCTGGCATGGTGTTGCCTTTCTCATGTGGAAGTGTAACATAAGTTGAGGACATGTGTTCCCCACTTTCATTGTTTTCCTCCATGTACAGAGATCCTGAGTGGAGTACAGCTGACCCTCCTTCCACACTGTTCCTCTCCTCCCCACGGGAACAGCAGATAATTACCTGAGGCTGAATCTGAGGTGGGATATGTCCTGTGCACCTCAGAGCCTGCAGAGACCCCCGGCTGCAGATTCATGGAGTCAGGTGTTTGTGCATGTGGGAATCTCGAGCTGTGCTGTTGTCAGTGAATGCTGCTTAGAACTAATTGCAGGATTCAGAATTAGGAGACCCCCTGATCTATCACACCTCAGCTCATTCTGCCACTCATCATCTTCAGAAATTCTGAATATGGTTCAGTTTACATTTTTGTGATGTACTGTTCTCATTTCATTTAGTCATGAGTTTGGTCAGCAGAAAGTGCTACCATTTATGTGTCCCAACCTGATGAAGCTAATTTGCTTCACGAGAAGTTAGGAGGCTCCTGAATCTTATCCTAAGCCTGTCTCTCTGCACTTTCCTTTAAAATTCAGTTTTACCTGGAATTCTGTTGTGTTGATTTAGCCAGTTTTCCCCATACTGAGTGTCTGATTTTCCTGGATATCTGATCAGTTTCCTTGTCCTTCACCATAACTTGGGTGACATCTGATCACCCTGGTCTAACTTCAACAAAAATCCTGGCAGGCTGCCCTAAGCAGGATTTACCTCACTCCTGATGTTTCTTCTTGGTGATTTTCCATCCTGTGCCCCAACCCTGCTGTATGCCTATAAATCCTCACGTTCTCATTCTGTATTTGGAGTTCTGCTGAATCTCTCCCCCACTGCAAAATCCCACTGCCCTGGTCCCTACACCTATCATGAGGGCCCTGGATGAAGTCTTCCTTACTGTGCTGGAACAAGTGTCTTCATATATACATTTTTTCTTTAACAAATCAACCTTTAGTATTTCCTAATTGATCAAAGGACCTCAAACATTGCATGAAAGCGAGGATCTCCATTTTACTATAAGGGGTGTTTTGTGAATTTCAGTTTCCATGTGTGGTGTCCAGAAGTCCTGGGCACCAACGGTTGTGCTTCTCTGTCCAATTCTTTGATTCTGAAACCCGGGAGTCATCTGAACATGAGTAAATAGGTGACTTTTTTCACTATTTAGTGACTGCCTTATTTCATTTACCCTGAAGCTTCACGAACACATTGATGAAAAGTAGATAGAGAACTTGTTTGGAAATGCAAGATTTATAGTAGACGTAATCACCTACATGATTCTGGAGGTCTTCTTAGTGTTCCAAGAACCAGATGTTTTTCCCACCACAGGACAAAGATGAGAACCTCCACGCTGTGAGGATAGAGGACAGGCAGGGCAAAGATGAGAACCTCCACGCTGTGAGGATAGAGGACAGGCAGGGCAGTGTGAGGACAAAAGGGGCTGTGGTCACGTCCAGGGTGTTCTCTCCTAGCAACGCCTCCAGCTCTTTCCTCACTCTGTGGTATTTGTCAGATGGGAAACATACCTCAAATTTATATTTGACATATTGATGGAAGTCCAGGCAAGAGGCATCTGAAAGCTTATTTCTGAACCTGCTTCTGTAAGGAATGCCCATATCCCTTGGTCTCTTTCCTCTTTCTTAACTCCATTGGCTCCCTTCCCCTCCTGCACACACCCACTGACGTTTATGGCCACTTCCCCACACCCTTCACTGTAGTACCATTTTCTTGGGCTCCTGGGAAACCCAACAGCTTTAGTTAAACTCACAGCTATGTACACCCATAGGCCCCTCAGGAGGTTCTCAGTTTCACTCCTACAGTCTCCCAGGCTGCTCCTTGGGGTCCTAACCTGACCATCTCTACCCTCTCTCCTGAGTCTGGCCATCCATTGAACGTCCCTGCTGCCCTCTAATCTGGATTTGTGTACAGTAGAAGGTTAACTCAGCAGACCTGGATTGTTTAAACCCTGCACATTCCTGAAAAACATTGTTCATTTATGGCTCTCAGTTACCTCCTGATGAGAACTCTGAGCCCTTAAAATGCTATGCCAGATAACAGTGTCTGTGGTTGTCTGCAGCCTTGGGACCTGTAGTACACATTTAATCATAGTGCTTTGTAGTGAATGCCAGCTATTTTTTTTTCCTGGGTAGCGGGGGAGCTGTTGTCTGAGTATTGTGGTCAGTTGAAATGCCTAACCTTGTTTTCACTCTAACTCACTACTTTGAATCTTCCCTGTTTGTCTCTTTAATCACCTAGCCTTGCTTCTCATGTAAGTAAGACTCTCTCTAGCTGGGAAAGCTGGACAAACTCCAATTGACCCCTTAATTTACAAGACACTAAGGGCTCCTCACCCAACCCCCTTCCGTAAGGAGTTAACCTGTGTAAACAGATTCTCAGCATTTCAAAGGAGCCCAGTTAACTGATAAGGTACTAGCACCAACAATGTATGAAGTTCCCAGGATTTTTCTCAAGGAGATAACAACATAAAGCCTTGAGTTCATGCCCGGCATAGCCCCTATATCTAATTATAATGAAAGATTTAGAGCCCTGCACCTGGTACTGTTGCTCTTTTTGTAACCATTTGTCTTTTAAATTGTTTATCTCTCTGTAACCATTTTGCTTCTTTTGATTCTTGCATGTTTTTACTTCCGTAGAATTATTGCACTTGAGTTCCCCTCCCCTTCCTAAACCTAGGTATGAAAGTTAATCAAGCCCCTTCCTCGGGGCCCAGAGAATTTTGAGCATTAGCCGTCTCTTTGGCCGCTGGCTTAATAAAGGACTCTTAATTCGTCTCAAAGTGTGGCGTTTTCTCTAACTCGCCTGGGTACAACATTTTTGGAGGCCGCAGCGAGATATTAACACCACTGGGCGAGAGCCGGTCTCGCTCCGGGCTCCCCCGGAAGGATGGCCAGCTCGGAGGAGGGACACCACCTGAGGAAAGAATTTTCAGGTCTGCAAAGAGTGACCGCCTTCCAGAGGAGAGCGGATCGACCACTGTGTCAGCGCCCTAAAAGTCAACATCTGAGTCCTCAGCTTCTGACCCCGGGGTCAGGTAGGTCGGATGTGACTTCGTTTCCGGTGAGAGGGGAGCGGCCCTGACGAGGGCGCTGAGTCCTCAGCTTCTGACCCCGGGGTCAGGTAGGTCGGATGTGACTTCGTTTCCGGTGAGAGGGGAGCGGCCCTGACGAGGGCACTGAGTCCTCAGCTTCTGACCCCGGGGTCAGGTAGGTCGGATGTGACTTCGTTTCCGGTGAGAGGGGAGCGGCCCTGACGAGGGCGCTGAGTCCTCAGCTTCTGACCCCGGGGTCAGGTAGGTCGGATGTGACTTCGTTTCCGGTGAGAGGGGAGCGGCCCTGACGAGGGCGTCCCTCTTTTGACTCAGCCCATTACTCTAGGATGCTAGTGGGTTGAGCCTTCGTTTTCCGGTAGGCGCCTTCGTATCTTGGTTTGGGTGGGAAGTGGTCCTGACCAGGACCCTCCCTTGACTTAGCTCAAGACCCAGGACGCTGGAGAGCTAAGCCTTGGTTTCTGGCAGACCTCTCTCTCTCTCTTCTATCTTCCATCCTTCTTTTGGAAATCTCCGGGAAAGGGAAAAAAAAAAAACCTGTTATAAACTCTGTGTAAATGGTGTGTGAATGTGGGAGGACAAAGGCTTGCGTTTGTCTTCCAGTTTGTAGCTCCATGGCGAAAGCTACGGAGTTTGAGTGGGCCCTCACCTGCCGTTCTGTGGTGACCTCATAAGGCTTAAGGCAGCATCGGGCATAGCTCGATCCGAGCTGGGGGTTTATACTGGCCTGCCAATGCTAAGAGGAACCCAAGTCCCCTCACGGGGAGTGGCCAGGCAGGCATCTAAATGATCCCATCACGGGACCCCCTTCCCTTGTCTGTCTAATAGAGAAGGTAAAACAGGAAAACTGTCATCATTGTTTACATGCCCTAGGGTCAATTGTTTGTTTTATGTTTATTGTTTTGTTCGGTGTCTATTGTCTTGTTTAATAGTTGTCAAGGTGTTACATGTCAGGACATCGATATAGTCCACGAGGTCTGGGTAAAAATTTCTTCAAGGTCCTTAGTGCTGATTTTTTGTCACAAGAGGTTAAATTTCTAATCAATCATTTAGACTGGCCACCACAGTCTTGTCTTTTCTGTCATAAACAAGTAAGCTGTTGTTACGGAAAAGAGTGTGGAGAACATTCACCTGATTGGAATTTCTGGCACCATGAAGGTTGCGGGTATTTAGATTGTCATACCCCACGTCCTAGTGATTGGTCCCCTTCTAAACTGAACTGGTGGTGGGTTCAAAACAGCCACCCTGCAGACCTTCTTGCTCACCTCTTCTGTCATTCTGTAACTTTTCCTGCGCCCTTAAATAGGACCTTGTGTAAAGAAACCTACGCCCGTCATGCTTTACTTCGTTTAGACTCCTATTCTGTTCCACTGTGGCTACTTTCTCATCTTAAGGACGATCCGAGTGGTCCTTTTCCCCCTCGTCCCTGCCCCTTACCCCGCACATCTCGTTTTCCAGTGCAACAGCAAGTTCAGCGTCTCCAAGACTTCGCTCTGCTCTCACTCCTTGAACCCTTAAAGGAAAAAGCTGAATTTGAACTGTTTGCCTTTGAATCGTGGAGACATAAAAAACACTTAGGATATAGGTCTAGAAGAAGAAGAAGAGGGAGAACGCCTAGATCGAACTGGCCCAGGAGACCTCAGGCTGGCCTCCAATCCCCCTCCCTCAATCTTAAAGCTACAGCAATGTGGCAAGTGGTATTAGCTGTTGTGGTTTTTCTGTTCTTTCTGATCATGTTAATTCTGTTTTTCCGACACTCCAGCCCCCCAGGGAAAGAGTTTCTCTGCCGGTGTTGGATCTGATATCTCTGCTCAAGACTTTGCTAAATTGTCTTTAAATAATAATAATAATAATAAACGGGAAACACCTCCTCCTGGCCCCGTAAGGGTTGGAGCCCTCTCCAGTGTATGCTGGAAAATTTTTCTCTTGGTTTCTCAGAGGACTATGGAGTCCGCCTTAGAAAAGGCAAGGTCTGGACACTCTGTGAACTAGAATGACCAAAGTTTGGAGTCGGATGGCCCTGTGAAGGGTCATTAAATCCTACCATTGTTCAAGCCGTGTGATGGGTTGTTACCGGAACTCCCGGCCACCCTGATCAGTTTCCCTATATCGATCAATGGCTAAGTTTGATTAGGAATCCTCCTCCATGGCTCTGTTCATGTGCCATTCGCAATTCCACCTCCAAAGTCCTCCTGAGCCAGGCCGCGTTTTTGCCTCAACCCTCCGCCAGTTCGGCTCCCCCTGTTTTGCCTCCCTCTGAAGAAGAGGAGAGTCTTCCTCACCCAGTTCCACCGCCTTACCACCAGCCTGCTCCCTTGGCGCCATCCCGTGTCTCTTCGACTGCGTCCCCTGTGGGCTGTGACCGCCCATTGCCTTCCGCTACGACCGCATGGGAGGAAGCAGCCCCTCTACTCCCACTGAGAGAGGCACGAGTCCCGCGGCTGATGAGCGCTCAGCCCCCTTCCTGGTTTATGTCCCTTTTTCTACTTCTGACTTGTATAATTGGAAAACCCATAATCCTCCCTTCTCTGAAAAGCCTCAGGCTTTGACCTCACTGATGGAGTCCGTGCTCCGGACCCATCGACCCACCTGGGATGACTGCCAACAGCTCCTTTTAACTCTGTTTACCTCTGAGGAGAGGGAGCATATCCGAAGAGAGGCCAGAAAGCACTTCCTTGCATCAGCCGGTGGGCCGGAGGAGGAAGCTAGAGACCTCCTGGAGGAGGAGGAAGCTAGAGACCTCCTGGAGGAGGAGGAAGCTAGAGACCTCCTGGAGGAGGAGGAGGTCTTTCCCTCCACCTGGCCTAACTGGGGCCCAGATTCCTCAGGTGGAAGGAGGGCTTTGGACGATTTTCACCAGTATCTCCTCGCGGGTATTAAAGGAGCCGCTTGGAAGCCCATAAACTTGTCTGAGACAACTGAAGTTGTCCGGGGGCCTGATGAGTCACCAGGGGTGTTTTTAGAACCTCTCCAGGAGGCTTATCGAATTCACACACCTTTTGACCTGGCGACTCCCGAGAATAGCCGTGCTCTTAATTTGGCATTTGTGGCTCAGGCAGCCCCAGATATTAGGAGAAAACTCCAAAAACTGGAAGGATTTACTGGGATGAATATCAGTCAGCTTTTAGAAATAGCCCAGAAGGTTTTTGAAAACCGAGAATTTGAAAAACAAAAACAAGCGACACAGGCAGCTGAAAAAGCTGCCGATAAAGCATATAAAAGACAAGCAAAAATCTTGGTAACAGCTATCCAAGAGGGCAGAAAGGAAAGGCCTGCATTCCAGAAAAATGGCCAAGGAACCTCGGGTTCCCACCAGAAAAGTGAAAGAGGTGAACAGGCCCCTCTAGGAAAACACCAATGTGCCTATTGCAAACAGACTGGGCATTGGAAAAAGGAGTGCCCGTTACTGCCAAAAGAAAAATCTGAAAACAAAAAGGTTCTCACCCTGGCCGCAACAGAGGAGCCTGATGATTGATGGGGCCAGGGCTCCCTTGCTCTCGGCCCCCAGGAGCCCATGGTAACTGCTACAGTGGGGGGCCAGCCTGTATGTTTCCTAGTAGACACCGGGGCAGAGCACTCCGTACTGGAGACTCCCCTGGGCAGTGTCTCAAATAAAAAAATTGCTGTACAAGGGGTAACTGGAGCTATTCAAGAATATCCTGTCACACACACCTGAGAAGTAAACTTGGGACAGAAAAGAGTGACACACTCTTTCCTAGTAGTTCCAGAGTGTCCTATTCCTCTCCTTGGACGGGACCTACTCCATAAGTTACAGGCCTCAATCTCCTTTTCAGCTCAGCAGGCTCATCTCACACTAGGAAATGCAACTTCCCCCACTGCCCAACTCTTGCTAACTACCCCTCTGTCAGAAGAATACCTTCTGGTTTCACCGTCGTAATCACCGGAGGAGAATACTAATACTCTTTTGTTAGATCTACAGACACTTTTCCCCCAAGTTTCGGCCGAGTCAAACCCTCCCGGACTGGCTAAACACCATCCGCCAGTAGTCATAGAACTCTTGGCCACTGCCATACCGGTCCAGGCAAAGCAATACCCCACAAGTCAGCAGGCTAGAGAGGGGATTAATCCCCACATTCAACGACTGTTACAAGCTGGCATACTTACCCCATGCCAGTCGGCCTGGAACACGCCATTTTTGCCGGTCCAGAAACCTGGAACAAATGATTACTGGCCAGTACAAGACTTAAGGGACGTTAATAAATGGACTGTTGCTGTCCACCCAACCATTCCTAATCCCTATACTCTACTCAGCCTGCTCCCACCAGAACATACAGTATACACTGTCCTTGACCTGAAAGATGCTTTCTTTGCTATCCCTCTGGCCCCCAAAATCCAGCCGATTTTTGCTTTCAAATGGACAGATCCAAGATCAGGAGACACTACCCAACTGACTTGGACTCAGTTACCTCAGGGTTTTAAAAATTCCCCTACCCTTTTTGGAGAGGCTCTTCAGCAAGATCTTATACCCTTCCGAGCCAGTCACCTTAACTGTACTCTTCTCCAATATGTAGATGACATTTTAATAACAACTGAAACTATGGATGGTTGTCTACAACACACAAGAGACCTGCTCTACCTCCTTCAGGAGCTCGGGTATGGAGTCTCAGCCAAAAAGGCCCAGCTTTGTCTTCCCAGAGTGTCCTACCTGGGGTACAAGATAAACAAAGGAAAAAAGGCACTCACTAGTGCCCGGAAAGAAGCCATCCTGCGAATCCCCACTCCCGCCACCAAGAGACAGGTACATGAATTCCTAGGAGCCCTGGGATATTGTCGTCTTTGGATATCGGGGTTTGCAGAGATTACAAAGCCTTTGTATACTGCTACAAAAGGTAATGGCCCACTGATTTGGACAGACACCGAGGAACAGGCTTTTCAGAATCTGAAAAAGGCTTTAACTGCAGCCCAGGCTTTAGCCCTCCCAAATATCTCAAAGCCTTTTCATCTGTTTGTCCATGAGAGCCAGGGAGTTGCTAAGAGAGTGCTTACTCAGACTTTAGGAACTTGGAGAGGCCCAGTGGCTTATTTATCTAAGAAGGTGGATCCTGTGGCCTCAGGATGGCCAAGTTGTTTGCCAGCCATAGTGGCTACAGCAAGCCTAGTCCAAGAAACTGATAAATTAACTCTAGGCCAGAATTTAACCCTTACAGTTCCTCATGCTGTAGAGACTTGACTACGAAGTGCTTCAGGTAAATGGATGTCAAATGCTCGTATTTTACAATATCAGAGTTTACTGTTGGATCAGCCTTGTTTGACTTTCTCTCCCACAAGGTGTTTAAATCCTGCTACTTTACTCCCAGATCCAGATTCTAATACTCCTGTCCATGACTGTCAGGAGCTGTTAGAAGCTACCGAAACTGGCAGGCCAGATCTTCAAGATGTGCTCCTGAGAAAGGCGGACGCCACCGTGTTCACCGACGGCAGCAGTTTTCTCGAACAGGGGATACGCAAAGCTGGTGCAGCTGTTACCACAGAGACAGATGTGTTGTGGGTTCAGGCTTTACCGGCAAGCACCTCAGCACAAAAAGCTGAATTGATTGCCCTTACTCAAGCTCTCCGATGGGTTAAAGATAAACGTATTAACATTTATACTGACAGCAGGTATGCTTTCGCTACTGTGCATGTACATGGAGCCATCTACTAAGAACGCGGGTTGCTCAGGTCAGAAGGAAAAATAATTAAGAACAAAGAGGAAATTTTAGCCCTGCTTGAAGCTGTGTGGCTCCCTCAACAAGTGGCTGTAATCCATTGTAAAGGACATCAAAAAGAAAACACGGCTGTTGCCCGCGGTAACCCAAAAGCGGTTTCAGCAGCTCGGGAAGTGGCGCTGTCTTCAGCTCCGTCCATAAACCTGCTACCGGCAGTTTCTTTTCCACAGCCAGATCTGCCTGACAACCCCGCGTACTCAACAGAAGAAGAAAAACTGGCTGCAAACCTTAGAGCAAATAAAAATCAAAAAGGTTGGTGGATTCTTCCTGACTCTAGAATCTTCGTACCCCCAGCTCTTGGAGAAACTTTAGTCAGTCACCTACATTCTACCACCCATTTGGTGGGACAAAATTAGCTCAGCTCCTCCGGAGCTGTTTTAAGATCCCTCATCTACAAAGCCTAACAGATCAAGCAGTTCTCTGGTGCACAGCCTGCGCCCAGGTAAATGCCAAGCAAGGTCCTAAACCCAGCCCAGGTCACCGTCTCCGAAGAAACTCGCCAGGAGAAAAGTGGGAAATTGACTTTACAGAGGTAAAGCCACACCGGGCTGTGTACAAGTACCTTTTAGTATCAGTAGACACCTTCTCCGGATGGACTGAGGCATTTGCTACCAAGAACGAGACAGCTAACACAGTAGTTAAGTTCTTACTCAATGAAATCATCCCCTGGTACGGGTTGCCTGCTGCCATAGGGTCTGATAATGGACCTGCCTTCACCTCGTCCATAGCTCAATCAGTCAGTAAGGCATTAAACATTCAGTGGAAGCTCCATTGTGCCTATCAACCCCAGAGCTCTGGACAGGTGGAATGCATGAACCATACCCTAAAAAATACTCTTACAAAATTAATTCTAGACACCAGTGAAAATTGGGTAAAACTCCTTCCTTTAGCCCTACTTAGAGTAAGGTGCACCCCTTATCAGGCTGGGTTCTCACCTTTTGAAATTATATATGGGCGGGCACCACCTATCTTGCCTAAGCTAAAAGATGCCCATTTTGCAGAAATATCACAAGCTAATTTATTACAGTACCTGCAGTCTCTCCAACAGGTACAAGAGATCATTCTGCCACTTGTTTGAGAAGCCCATCCCAGTCCAGTTCCTGACCAGATGGGGCCCTGCCATTCATTCCAGCTCAGTGACCTGGTGTTTGTTAAAAAGTTCCAGAGAGAGGGCCTAACTCCTGCTTGGAAGGGACCTCACACCGTCATCCTCACGACGCCAACAGCTCTGAAGGTGGACGGAATTCCTGCTTGGATTCATCACTCCCACATCAAAAAGGCCAACAAAGCCCAAACAGAAACATGGGTCCCCAAGCCTGGATCAGGACCCTTAAAACTACACCTAAGTCGGGTGAAACTGTTAAATTAACTCTTTTTATTTGCTTCTTTTGTTTATCCTTGCCTGTAATGTCTTCTGTGCCTTCCTACTCCTTCCCCCTCACCTCTCTCACAACAGGACGTGTTTTCGCCAATACTACTTGGAAGGCTGGTACCTCCAAGGAAGTCACCTTTGCAGTCGACTTGTGTATACTGTTCCCGGAGCCGGCTGGTACCCACGAAGATCATCGCGACCTGCCAGTCATGGGAGCAGGAGGTGTCGACCTTGCAGCAGGATTTGGACACTCTGGGAGCCAAGCCAGATGTGGAAGCTCCAAAGGTGCTGAAAAAGGACTCCAAAAGGTTGACTTTTACCTCTGTCCTGAAAATCACCCTGATGCTAGCTGTTGAGATACCTACCAGTTCGTCCGCCCGGATTGGGCATGTGTAACTTTAGCCACTTACTCTGGGGGATCAACTAGATCTCCAACTCTGTCAATAAGTCGTGCTTCTCGTCCCAAATCGTGTTCTAAAAATAATTGTAACCCTCTTAACATCATTGTCCATGAACCTAATTCAGCTCAATGGTACTATGGTATGTCATGGGGATTAAGACTTTATGTCCCAGGGTTCGATGTTGGAACTATGTTCACCATCCAAAAGAAAATTTTGGTCCCCTGGAGCCCACCCAAGCCAATCGGACCTTTAACTGATCTAGGTGACCCTATGTTCCAAAATCACCCTGACAAAGTTAATTTAACTGTGCCCCCACCATTCTCAGTTCCTAAGACCCAGCTACAAAGACATCAACTCCAACCCAGTCTGATGTCTATACTTGGTGGAGTACATCATTTTCTTAACCTCAGCCAGCCTACACTAGCCCAAGATTGTTGGCTATGTTTAAAAGCAAAACCCCCATATTATATAGGATTAGGAGTAGAAGTCGCACTTAAAGGTAGTCCTTTATCCTGTCATGCACAACCTCATGCTTTCACATTAGGAGATGTGTCTGGAAGTGCTTCTTGTCTAATTAGTACTGGATATGACTTATCTATTTCTCCTTTTCAGGCTATCTGTAATCAGTCTCTGCTTACTCCCATGAGCATCTCAGTCTCTTACCAAGCACCTAACAATACCTGGTTGGCCTGCACCTCAGGTCTCACTCGCTGCCTTAATGGAACTAAATCAGAACCCCTCTTGTGTGTTCTAGTTCATGTCCTTCCCCAGGTATACGAGTACAGTGGATCAGAAGGACAACTCCTCATTGCTCCCCCGGAATTACATCCCAGGCTACGCAGAGCTGCCCCACTACTGGTTTCTCTTTTAGCCGGTCTTAGCATAGCTGGGTCAGCAGCTATTAGTACAGCTGCCCTAGTTCGAGGAGAAACTGGACTAATGTCTTTGTCCCAACAGGTAGATGCTGATTTAAATAATCTTCAGTCTGCCATAGATATACTACATTCCCAGGTAGAGTCTCTAGCTGAAGTAGTACTTCAAAACTGCCGAGGCTTAGATCTGCTGTTCCTCTCTCAAGGAGGATTATGCACAGCTCTAGGAGAAAGCTGTTGCTTTTACGCCAATCAATCTGGAGTCATAAAAGATACACTCCAAAAAGTTCAAAAAAATCTAGATAGGAGCCAACAAGAACGAGAAAATAACACAGCCTGGTATCAAAGCATGTTCAATTGGAACCCCTGGTTAACTACTTTAATCACTGGTTTAGCTGGACCCATCATCATCATATTATTGAGTTTAATTTTTGGCCCTTGTATATTAAATTGGTTCCTTGATTTTGTAAAACAACGTATAGCGTCTGTCAAACTTATGTATCTAAGAACTCAATATAACCCCCTTGTTGTAACTGAAGAATCAACGACTTGATTCCCCTAAAACACAAGTGGGGAAATGAAATGCCTAACGGTGTTTTTACTTTAACTCGTTACTTTGAATTTTGTCCTGCTTGTCTCTTTAATCACCTAACCTTGCTTCTCATGTAAATAAGACTCTCTCTAGCTAGGAAAGCCAGACAAACTCCAATTGACCCCTTAGTTTACAAGACACTAAGGGCTCCTCACCCAACCCCCTTTCGTGAGGAGTTGGCCTGGGTAAACAGATCCTCAGCATTTCAAAGGAGCCCAATTAACTGATAAGGTACCCACACCAACAATGTATGAAGTTCCCAGGAATTTTCTCCAAGAGATAACAACATGAAACCTTGAGTTTGTGTCCGGCATAGACCCTATATCTAATTATAATAAAAGATTTAGAACCTTGCACCTGGTACCGTTGCTCTTCTTGTAACCATTTGTCTTTTAAGTTGTTTATCACTCTGTAACTATTTTGATTATTTTGATTCTTGCATGTTTTTACTTCTGTAAAATTATTACATTTGAGTCCCTCTCCCCTTCCTAAACCTAGGTATAAAATTTACTCGAGCCCCTTCCTCGTGGCCGAGAGAATTTTGAGCATGAGCTGTCTCTTTGGCAGCCGGCTTAATAAAGGACTCTTAATTCGTCTCAAAGTGTGGCGTTTTCTTAACTCACCTGGGTACAACAGTGCAGCTGGTGGAGTCTGGGGGAGGCTTGGTAGAGCCTGGGGGGTCCCTGAGACTCTCCTGTGCAGCCTCTGGATTCACCTTCAGTAACAGTGACATGAACTGGGTCCGCCAGGCTCCAGGAAAGGGGCTGGAGTGGGTATCGGGTGTTAGTTGGAATGGCAGTAGGACGCACTATGCAGACTCTGTGAAGGGCCGATTCATCATCTCCAGAGACAATTCCAGGAACTTCCTGTATCAGCAAATGAACAGCCTGAGGCCCGAGGACATGGCTGTGTATTACTGTGTGAGAAACACTGTGAGAGGACGGAAGTGTGAGCCCAGACACAAACCTCCTGCAGGAACGTTGGGGGAAATCAGCTGCAGGGGGCGCTCAAGACCCACTCATCAGAGTCAACCCCAGAGCAGGTGCACATGGAGGCTGGGGTTTGTTTCCTGTCAGGATTTGGGACTTCCTCTGCTTCTGACAGTTTCTCTAGGGAAACTCTTTAATTTTAGATTTCTGTGCCCACCAATGTCATCTCTACATTTTTTTAATCATTGTAATATGATAGGAGGACTTATTCTCACATGCACAATATGTATATTGCCACCTACGGGAATGAAAACTCCTCAACCATGGTCACCAGCATCAGAGTCGTGAGGAAGCTCAGGGGTGCCTGGTGAGTCTTCTCCAGTCAGACTCAGGACAGTAACCTCAAGGGGATTCCCTTGTGAGAACTCACACACTTTCATGAGAACAGCACCAGGAGTTGGTTCTAAACCATTCATGAAAGACCCACTCCATGACCCAGTCACCTCCCACCAGGTCACCCCTTCACAATTGAGGATTATAATACAACATGAGATTTGGGGCAGGACACAAATCCAAACCATATCAGATACACATTGTGAAATGCTCATGATGGTCAGGGTAATTTGTATTTCTATCACCTCACAGCGCTACCATTTTATTATTTTTTTAAATTAACTGCATGAGTGAGTGTCTGATGAGAACACCTCAGATATACCCTTTCAGCAACAATCATTTTTATAATACAGTATTAACTATAGGACCATTGCTGTACGTTAGATCTCCAGAACTCATCCAACCTGCACAACTGAAACTGTACAATTTAACAAACATCACCCGATTTCCCTCTCCTCCCAGGTCCTGAGACCCTCTATTCTGCTCTCTACTTTCAAGAGCTTGAATATTTTAGATCCCACATGTAAATGAGATCATGCAGCATTTGTCTTTCTGCATCTGGCTTATTCCACTCAGCATCATGTCCTCCAGGCCCATCCGTGTTGTTGCAAATGTCAGAATTTCCCTCTTTTCAAAGCCAAATAAAATACAGATTTATGTATACACATTTTCTTTATACATTCATCCATTTACAGTCATTAAATTATTTTGCAAATCTACACTATTATTAATAATCTTCAATGAACACGTCTTTGGCAAAGTAATTTTATTTCCTTTGCATATATAATAAGAAATGGGATCACCAGATTATATGATAGCTTTATTTTCAACTTATCGAGTAACCAATCCTACCACAGTGTATTCCCTTTCCCTCACATTCTTGCCAATATTTGTCATCTATTACATTTCTGATAATAACCATATTAACTAGTGTGAGGTGATATCGCATTGTGCTTTTCATTTGAATTCCTCTGATAATTAGGAATGTTGAGAACCTTTTCGTTTTCTGTTTGCCATGCATGTATCTTCTGAAAAAAGTTATCCAGGTTTTTGCACTTTTTTATCAGTTCATTTGTTATTTGCTATTGAGGTATATGGGTTATTTATACATTTAGATAGACCTTCTTGTCGGATACATAATTACACATAGTTTTTCCTGTGCTTTGTTGTTAAATTCAAAGAAATCAGTTCCGAATTAATGGCAGGAATTTTTTTTGCTCCATGTGATTTATGAGTTTATGGCTTCAGGTATTATGTCCAATATTAGCTGATTTTTTTATATGGAGTTAGAGAAGGCCTAATTTTATTTCTTTTGAATATGAATGCCAGTTTTACACCATTATTGAAAAGACTGTCCTTTCTCTACTGTGTGCTCTTGGCACACAAAATCAGGAGAGACATAATGACAAAAGAAAATATCAGATGAATATTCCTGATGAACATAGACCTGAAAGTCCTCAACAAAATACTATCAAATAGAATCCAGAAGCACTTTAAAATGTAATACATCATGGTCAAGTGGGCTTTACCCCTGGGATGCAAGGCTCGTTCAATATCCACAGTAACTGTGATTCACAATGTAAACAGAATAAAAGCAAAAACCATATGATTATGTCAATAGATACTGAGAAAGCCTCTGGTAGGTTCTAACATCCACTCATGATAAAAACCCTCAACAGACTAGACATCAAAGAAACGTACCTCAGAATAATAGCCATCTACAGCAAACCCACAGTCAACACCATACTAAATGAGCCAATTAAAACACTTGTCTTTATAAATTACCCAGTCTGAGGAGTTTCTTTATAGTGTGAGAATTGACTAATACAGCATCCAAATAGGAAAGGAAGTCAATCCGTCCACCTTCAGCGATGATATAATTCTATACCTAGAAAATCCTAAAAAGTCTGCCAAAATAATTCTAGAATAAACAACTTTAGTAAAGTGTCAGGATACAAAATCAATGGACAAAAATTACCAGCATTTCTATAAGCCAACCACATCCAAGCTGAGAGTATAATCAAGAACAAAATCCTATCCAACTTACAGTATCCACAGAGAAAATGAAATGCCTGGGAACACAGATAACAAACAAGGTGAAAGATCACTACGAGGAGAACTATAAAGCACAGCAGAAATAAATAATAAATGATACAAATAAATGGGAAACATTTCATGCTCATGGATTGGAAGAATCAATATTGTAAACATTGTCATAATGCCCAAAGGAATTCACAGATTCAATGCTATTTACATAAAACTATCATCATCATTCTTCACAGAATCAGAAAAAAATCTATTCTAAAATTTATATGGAACCAAAAAAGACCCTGAATAGCAGAAGCAATCCTAAGCAAAAAGAACAATGCCAGAGGCATCATGATACTGACCTTAAACTACACCATAATGTCTTGCTAACAAAAGCAGCTTGGACTGGTACGATAGCAGACCTGCAGAAAAAAAAAAATAGATCAAAATTGAAAACAGAAATAAAGTTGCACACCTGCAACCTTTTGATCTTTGACAAGGCTGACAAAAGCAATTGGAAAAAAAAAATCTCTGTATTCAGTAAATGGTTCTGGGATAACTGGATTCTGGCAGGTATGCAGAATGCAAGAGTGAAGGAGCCTGTGCAGCTTCTACCTAGATTTCAGATGTGTAGAGAGCCCTGCATGCCCAGGAAGAAGCCTGCTGCAGGAGTGGATCCACCACAGAAAGCCTCTACTAGAGCAGTGCCAAAGATGGGGAAAGATGGAGTTGGAGCCCCCATTCAGAGTCCCCACTAGGGCGCTTCATAGTAAAGTTGTGGGAATGTGGCCACAACCCTCAAGACCCTAGAATGGTAGAGCTACAGGCAACTTGCACCCTCAGCCTAGAAAAGCTTCCAGCACTTGACTCTCACTTGTGAAGGCAGCCCCGTGGTCTGTGCCTAGCAAACCTATAGGGATTGGCTGCCTGAGGTTTTGGGGACCCACCCCTTGTTCCAGTGTGCCCTGGTTGAAGTACATAAAGTCAAGAGAGATTATTTTGTAGTGTTAGGATTTAATATCTGCAGTGCTGGGTTTTATATGTGTGTGAGGCCTGTTGGTTGTTCCACTGGCCAATTTATCCCTTTAGGATTGGAATTATTTACCCAATGCCTGCACCATCATTGCACCTTGGAAGTAAACAACTTTCATTTTTAAACTTGCAAGCTCACAGCTGGAGGGACATTGCCTTAAGACTCAGATGAGACTTTGGACATTTTAGTTGGAGGTTGATCAACTTAACATTTTGGGAACTATTGAAAAAAGGTGATTATATTTTGCAGTGTAAGAAGAATATGAGAACTTTGGGTCTGAGAGTGCAATGATATCATTTAGGGGTTTTCCCCTCCAAATGTCATGGTGAAATGTGACCCACAATGTTGGAGGTGGGGCCAACTGGGTGGTTTTGGGTCATGAGGAGATTTTTCAGGACTGGCTTGGCATCCACCCCATGGTAATTAGTGAATTCTTGCTGTATTAGCTACTGTGAGATTTGATTGTTCAAAAAAGTCTGGCAACCCTCCTACCCTCTCATGTCCCCCCTCCTCACCATATGACACAGCCTCCTCCCCCTTTGCCTTCCACCATGACTGTAAGCTTCCTGAGGCCCTCGCAAGAAGCAGATGCTTGTGCCATGCTTCTCACACAGCCTGCAGATCTGTAAGCCAAATAAGCCTCTTGTCTTTGTAAATCACTTGGCCTCAGGTATTAATCTATACCAATGTAAAATAGACTAATACACTGCCCAAAGCAATATACAGAGTCCATGCAATTTATATCAAGTAACTAATATAATTGATTACATATTTTTAAAAATCCTAAAATTCATATAGAACCAAAAAAGGGTCTGAAAAGCAAAAGCAATCTTGAGCAAAAAGAACAAAGCTGGAAGTACCGCATTCCCTGACTTCAAATTACACAACACAAAGATAACAAGAAAGGCAGCGTGGTAATGGTAGAACAAAAATCAAGAGCCCAGACATACAGCCAAATATCTACAACCAACGGTTCTTTGACAAAACTGACAAAAATATACACTGGAGAAACAACCCTCTATTCAATAAGTAGTGCTGGGAGAATTAGATAGCCTTATGCAGAAGAATAAAATGAGACTTCTGTATCATCATAGACACAAATTAACTGTGAATATGGATTCAATGTTTAAATTTATAAACTCATAAAAATTCCTGAAGAAAATCTAAAAAAAATCCTCTAGACATTTGCCTAAGCAAATAAAATATGACTAAGACTGACTTCAAAAGCAAATGCAATGAAAACAAAATTAGACAAACAGGATTAATTGAAACACAGATTGTCTGCATAGCAAAAGAAATAACCAACATGGTGAACAGACAACCTGTGAACAGTAAAAAAAAATTTGCAATCTATTCATCAAAGGGCTAATACATAGAATCTACAAGGAACTCAAATAAGTCAACAAGAAATAACAAATAACTTCATTAAAGAGTGAGCAAAAACCAGACATTTCTCAAAAGAAGACACAGACGTGGCCAAAACAAATAAAACATACTCAGCATCACCAATCATCTGATAAATGTAAATTACAAACAACATGATATAGCATCTTCCACCAGTCACAATGGCTGTTATTACAAATAAAAAACAGCAGGTGTTTGGAGAGAAGCATAGGAAAAATAATGCTTTTTATATGCTTGGTGAAAATATAAATTAGTACAACCTCTATGAAAAACAATACAGAAGTTTCTCAAAGAACTAATATTAGAATTACCGTTTGTCCCAGTAATCCCTCCCAGTGGGTATATTCCTCCCAAAAGGAAATTTTTATATCAGAAAAAGTCACCTGCATTCCTAGTGTCTTTCACAGCAACGTGAATAGAGTTGTAGGACATTAGCCTAAATAAAATAACTCAAAAAGATCTTCTCTTTTATAATTGGAAAGTAAACAATGGGTACACATGTACATACATAAAAAACAAAAGACACTGGGAACTGCAAAAGAGGGCAAGGTGAGAGGAATGTGAGGGTTAAAAAATCACCTACTGGCTCCAATGTTCACTAGTGGGCGATAGTTACACCAGAAGCCCAAACCTCACCTTTATGAAATATATTCATGTTACAAAATTGCACATGTACACCCTGATTCTACTGAAAAAAACAGAAATAAAACATGAACAGAATTGTTAGACTGCTAGCTAGATTTGTCAACAAAGAAAAATGCAAAAGGAGCAATTCTCTGTTTTGGAACCCTTTCTCATTTTCTGGTACAATTAGAAATTGTAGACTAATCCCTATATTCTCTTCTGAAGCCCTAGCATTAGCCATTTCTCAAAGACATGCTGGTTCCTTTTTTTTTTTTTTTTTTTTGAGACAGGGTCCAGACTCACTGCAACTTCCACCTCCTGGGTTCAAGCGATTCTCCTGTCTCAGCCTCCCAAGTAGCTGGGATTACAGGCATGCGCCACTGTGCCTGGCTAATTTTTGTATTTTTAGTAGAGACAGGGTTTCGCTATGTGGGCCAGGCTGGTCCAAACTCCTGACCTCAAAAGATCTGCCCACCTCAGCCTCCTAAAGTGCTGGAATTACAGGTGTTAGCCACTGCACCTGGTCACTGGTTTCTTTTATAGAAGAATAGTATTAAAAACTCAAATCTTGATTCTGGGTGTATTTTTTATTAATGTGCACTCATTTCTTGTAGAAATTCTCAGGTAAAAAATCTAGGAAGTATGTGTTGTGTATTAACCCATATATACACAGACATCTAAACTATTTTTATCTAATATATGTACCTATATTATGCTAAACTTGCAAATAAAATGACATGTCCACCCTAAGTTAATACCACATGGATGTTTATCGCATTCCTTCTATGCCTGACACTAACCTCCCACTCCAACCACAAGGAACCCCATTTCCCCATACGCCGTCCATTCTCTTTGTAGTCCAATTCCAAGATTCCTGTGGAGTGTAACAAGATGTGTAAGTTGTGCTCTTTTGTGGAACATCGTCAATTGGGGTACAATGCTGATGTGAAGTTTCTTTTTTCTTTAATCTTATTGCCTACACCATTTCTGAATCTACTTAGTACCTCTTTTGAATTCATACATTTGTAATGGAATTAGACATTTTCTATGTTATCTGCATTCCATCCTGGAATTCCTAATCACCTATTTTTAAAAAAAATTCTTTTGAAGTAAGATTGTATTAGTCAGGGTTCCCTAGAGGGGCAGAACAAACAGGATATATATACGCACACAGGATACACACACACACACACACACACACACACACACAGAGTTTATTAAGGAGTATTAACTCGTATGATCACAAGGTCCCACAATAGGCCATTTGCAAGCCGAGGAGCATGGAAGCCAGTCCGAGTCCCAAAGCTGAAGAACTTGGAGTCCCATGTTCGAGACAAGGAAGCATCCAGCACGGGAGAAAGATGTAGGCTGGAAGGCTAAGCCAGTCTAATCGTTTCATGTTCTTCTGTTGTTGTTGTTTTTTTTTCCCTCTGGCCACACTGGCAGCTAATGAGATTGTACCACCCAGATTAAGAGTGTGTCTCCCTTTTTGAGCCCACTGGCTCAAAAGTTAATCTCCTTTGGCAACACCCTCACAGACCCACCCGGGATCAATACTTTGCACCCTTCAATCTAATCAAGTTGACACTCAGTATTTAGCATTACAAGTCCACCCCGTCAACTTGAAACCATACACATCTCCTGAGATTATACATAATCTTCAAACAAAGACAATAATAAAGTCATAATTACACCTAATATAATACAACTTTATTCGTTCAACTGGAAATGCACCAATCCCCAATCCAAATGCTATTACATATGGTCCACTCCCTCAAGGACACAGCCAGGATCATCCTATGACTTGGTGTCTAGAAGACTCATGCACTTTTAATTTTACCTCCAATATTAGACTCCACTTTATCACATGCAGACACTGCAGAATATTTTAAGACATCGATGTCTTATGCTGAAAAATTCAACAGTACATAAAATTGCCTTCCCACCACAGCCAGTGGTTACTACTGAATAAGGATCTGCCATCCCCTAGGGAGGTGCTATAGTGGATGGTGTGCACTGTTAGTAGCTATGGAAATTGATCCATTGTGGCAAATGGCAGCATCTTTCTTTTATAACATTAAACCATATTATATTGTATACACATACCACATTGTCTTTATTCATTTGTCTGTATGCTGACCATCAGATAGTTTCCATATCTTCGCTGTTATTAACAGTGTTTCAATAAACATAGGATGCAGATATGTTTACAAGGTGGTAATTTCATCTACTTGGGTATACTCCCAGAAACAGGATTTCTGGTCATATAATATCTCCAGTTTTAATTAATTTAGGACGCTTTATGTTGCTTTCCATAATTGTGGAAATGTAGAATGGTATAGCCATTATGAAAAACAATTTTGGTTTTGAGTTATGATCCATAAACAGCATTTGCTTATGGCTCTCAATGAGAGTTTCTACTAAATATGATGGAAGGCCAGGAAGGATTCTCACCTTAAAGCTTGGATGGATTATGAATTTACCTCTTATTTCCTAAAAGCAAAAGTTTGGAAGCATACATGATGGAGGCTGTTGGCAGGTTTCAGGATGATCTCATAAAAGGAGAATCTGCTGGATAAAAATGTTGGGTTTTCAGTTATAGACACACCTACACTCAATATGAAATGATGAAGTCAACTGAGGATCTAGAACATGTTCACTTGAAGCAACAGCACATTCTCAAAGGAACTTATTGCTCCATCACAAGGGCGATGAACTTCTGAAACCAGTAAAGTGTGAGTGCACAGTAAGTGATAACGTTATCACGTTTACATGAAGTTTGTTTAATGTGCCAAAGGCTGGTACAGATTAATCTTACACAAATATATGAAACATATTTTTCCATACATAGATATCTAGAGGATAATCCTCTTAGCAAAACTTCTTCAGGTTACAGAAATCTGTGTAAGTTGTAGATCTCATGGGGAACTGTCTCTTTATAAATACTGGTCTGTTTTTCAAGTCAGGAAAAATTATCTCTGTTGGAGTAGGCTTCCAATTGTGTAGACTTCTGAATTGCTTCTTGAGTTGTAACAAATGAACCAAAAAATTTGACTAATTGGAGTTTTGTGGCTGTCTTAATAAAAATTTCTTATAAGCTTTCTTTCAATTATTTGAGACCAGTTTTCCTGATTTTATTTTTCTCCAATAGATAAATTTTCACAAGATCTCAGGAAACCACCTCTCTGGCTCTTTAGTTTAAAAGACTAGCTTCTTAGGAAAAGAAGCTTCTTTCTAACATTGAAGAGCTCATTTATTCTGCAAACCATGAAGTTTGAGTCTCATTGTCAAGAATCATGAAAATTTTTACTCCAATATACTGAAAGTCATGACTCTTGAATTCAATATTTATTGGCATTCACAAAAGTGATTCATTCTCAGATGTGTCCTATGTTGCTGGCCCAACATATCAGTGAACTGAGTATCCTCCCTTAGCTCTCTCTGTCTGTAGCACTGAGTCTACAATCTTCAGAGTCATCCATGAAGGGGAGTCCTGAGGTTCATGGGATTCTTGTAAACATTCAGGTCAACAGAAGAAATAAACAGGATTGAGGGCTGCCAGCCATTTCCACGCCATTAGGAATAATTACCATCTAAGTATAAAGGTCTACATCATACAGAATACCCCACAGGATAGGCTGATGCAAAAAATTCCAACCCCACAGAGGCTCCACAGCAACCCTTACAGTTCTTTCAGGGAAGAAATAATCTCCAAGTTAAATGAGTCAGTAAAGCTGCTCTGAGCTACAGGAAAAATTGGATTTGGCCCAGGTTTGTCTGAGTTCAACGTGATTATTATACTCAGCTCCTGCTCCAATCTGGACTGAGTACGGGGAATTTAAATGAGCCTGGCTGTGTGGTTTGTTATATGAAAATCTGAACTATATAAACATAAATGGCATGTCTGGACTAGCATGAGGGTGAGAGATCCTGGGAACTCCACCCCCCATACTCTTATCGCCCTTTCCTCCAGGAACCTCCAGGTTCTCAGGGTGAGAATCCACATAGATCCCTTCATGGCTCTATTTCTAGGAAACCAAATCTCTAATAAATACACCCAGACTTTCTTCAGACACAGAAACCATGGGAAAGGCATCTTTAGATCCTCATCTATGTGGGGAAAGGTAATCCATCCCCATTACAAGCCCATACTAGCAGCCTTCCTTTATCATGAAAATGGGTAAAATTAGCCAATAGATGTAAATTTAAAGAAAATTTCCTGTGATGCTCCAGCCAGAAAAGAGCAAAAATCAGCTTCACTTCTGGAGACTTCCCGTATAGGTCACAGCCCAGAGAAAGAAGATCACCACAGCATTAAAATTCAGCTGTAAGAACATGTAATGCTTCCGTGTTCCACACATTATGTCTCACCAGTTTAGTCAATATGGATTAAATACGAGAGTGTGGCAATGCACAAACTCTATCTGAGGAGGAAATAGGAGAAAAATGTTAAGGAAAATAGAAGAATTCGAAGCCTCTAATACCAGGAACTTCAGCACAAAGAAAATGATTTCACCCTTATTGGCCTCAAATTTATTTTTCCTGTGGCATCTGCAGGGTTCCAAAGTGAGAAAAATTAATTCACTGTGCATGCACTTCCGAAGTGTCCACTTGCATTCTGATATCTTTACTTCTATTTGCAGAAAGTAGACACATATTCAGCCTTAGTGCCAGTGTAGGGAGTGCTTTCCGTGACATGGATACCAGAAAAATAGGGTAAACATAGGGCCCATTAATGTGAAAATCAGACATTGTGTGTGTGTGTTTGTGTGTGTGTGCGTGTGAGTTGAATAGTAGAGTTGGAGTGGGCTTCTATCCACCTACACCTGCAGGTATTCTCAGGTGCCATAATCAACTGCAGGACCCTAAAGGAAATAAGAGTCCCCCCAAACCCCTGAAGAGTTTTTGGGTTCACCGTGTGTCCAATGATTCAGTGCCTCTTGAGCTCCAGGAAAGGGCTCCCCAGTGATGCATGAGATCTTTCTTGGGGTCTCCCTGCAGAGTTCACTGGGATTCCTAAGGCCAATTCAGTATTTCAAAAGATGGTGTGAGAAGCACAGGCTGTCACTAAAGGAGAATTCTGAGCCAGGGCACAGCCACTTTATACTTGGCTGGGGACACTGGTAGGAATATACTCTGTGAGATCAGACAGGAACCTCCTTGCAGGGGCAGGGCAGGGCTGCAGGGGGCGCTCAGGACACACAGAGCACAGGCTTCCGCCCCAGAGCAGGTGAAGGAGGCTGGGGAGGGGTTCCTCTCAGGGCCTGGGACTTCCTTTAAAAAATCTAAAATAAGTATTTCACAAGGACTGCCGATGTTTATATAAATATCCTATTCAATTGTGAGCATTTATGAAACTCGATGTTGTAATGAGAACCACTTTTACAATGGGAATTTCAAACTTCCCTAGACATCTTAATAGTAAGCAGCTGGAGGTCAGGAGGAGATCCTTTCTTATAAATAAGTGCAATTTTTGGAGAAACACACTCATTCCCAAAATAGCACATTCACATATTAAGGTCTAGAAATGATTCGAGTTGCCCCTGAGACAGTCAAATGTGGGTTCTAAGTGAGGTGCGTGTCCTGGGGGAGCTTGTTCTCCAGTGGGGGAAGCTCTGTCAACACAGAGTTCAGGGATGGGTAGGGGATGCGTGGCCTCTAACAGGATTACGGCTTGAACCCTCAGCTTCTACAATTGTGTCGTCCATGTGTCATGTATTTGCTCTTTCTCATCCTGGGTCAGGAATTGGGCTATTAAATAGCATCCTTCATGAATATGCAAATAACTGAGGTGAATATAGATATCTGTGTGCCCTGAGAGCATCACCCAAAAACCACACCCCTCCTTGGGAGAATCCCCTAGATCACAGCTCCTCACCATGGACTGGACCTGGAGCATCCTTTTCTTGGTGGCAGCAGCAACAGGTAACGGACTCCCCAGTCCCAGGGCTGAGAGAGAAACCAGGCCAGTCATGTGAGACTTCACCCACTCCTGTGTCCTCTCCACAGGTGCCCACTCCCAGGTTCAGCTGGTGCAGTCTGGAGCTGAGGTGAAGAAGCCTGGGGCCTCAGTGAAGGTCTCCTGCAAGGCTTCTGGTTACACCTTTACCAGCTACGGTATCAGCTGGGTGCGACAGGCCCCTGGACAAGGGCTTGAGTGGATGGGATGGATCAGCGCTTACAATGGTAACACAAACTATGCACAGAAGCTCCAGGGCAGAGTCACCATGACCACAGACACATCCACGAGCACAGCCTACATGGAGCTGAGGAGCCTGAGATCTGACGACACGGCCGTGTATTACTGTGCGAGAGACACAGTGTGAAAACCCACATCCTGAGGGTTTCAGAAACCCCAGGGAGGAGGCAGCTGCACTGAATTTGAGGAGATTACAGGGCTTACAATGTTTAAAGTTGTTTAGAAAATGAGCTGAGCAATTGAGGAATGTGAGTAATGGAAACATGGATGCACTCTATATAGGAAATGTTTCTTTCAACAGTCACCCTATATGCAAAATTCAGAATGGTAAAGGCAGCAATCAGTGAGGCTGACGCAAATATTCCCATGGAGGCCTTGTGCAGACATACGTTTTAAAATCAGATAGATAAATAATTTGGAACAAGATTGCTGGTAACGTGGCTAAGACTAAATATGATTCCTAAAAACTGGCCAAAATCTATTCCAAATTGTCTCTGCCACTCCTTTTACATAAATGTATTAAAAAGTAGTTTTAAGACCACAGCAAAATTGGACAGAAGGTGCAGAGAGTTCTCATGTGCCCCTGCTTCACCATGCACAGCCTTTCCCACTGTCACCATCCTGCCCCAGAGTCATCAATAAGTTACAATGGATGAACTTACATGGGCGGATTGGTTCTTTCCTCTTCTGGTGGTCTCTTGGCATACCAAGCCCAAATTATCTTGAAGCACCATAGGTTCTACTGTAATGCCTAACCTTGTTTTTTACTCTAGTTTGCTACTTTAAATTTTCCCTTTTTTTGTCTCCTTAATTGCCAGCCATGTTTCCCATATGAATAGACTCTCCCTGGCTGGGAAAGCTGGGCAAACTCCATTTGACCTTTTGATTTATAAGACATTAAGGGCTCCTTACCCAACCCCCTTCTTCAAGGAATTAACCTGTGTAAGCAGATCCTCAGCATTTCAAAGGAGCCCAATTAACTGATAAGGTACTGGAACAAACAATGTATGAAGTTCCCAGGATTTTTCTCAAAGAGATAACAACATAAAGCCTTGAGTTCATGCCCAGCATAGCATCATATCTAACTATAATGAAGGATTTAGAGCCCTGCACCTGGTAACGTTGCTTTTTGTAACCATTTGTCTTTTAAATTGTTTATCTCTCTGTAACCATTTGCTTCTTTTGATTCTTGCATGTTTTTACTTCTGTAGAATTATTGTATTTGAGTTCCCCTCCCCTTCCTAAACCAAGATATAAAAGTTAATCAAGCCCCTTCCTCGGGGCCGAGAGAATTTTGAGCGTTAGCCATCTCTTCGGCAGCCGGCTTAAATAAAGGACTCTTAATTTGTCTCAAAGTGTGGCGTTTTCTCTAACTCGTTTGGGTATAACACTACAAGTGGGTTCCTGGGAATGATGCCAGTTCAGAGGAAAAGTGGGTGGGGCTATTCATATTTGGGCTCTTTTTTAGAAGATTCATAAAACAGATATTTTCCTATACGTTCTGTGACTCCTGATTTACTATCCCTTCCCAGAGGGTAAGGTCCCTAAGTGTTTTGCGGTATATCCATGTCTATGGAAAGAAAGCAAGTTCTGGTGAATCCCATAAGGAATGTCCTTTGATGAGAAGTGGAGACCTTGGTCATGAGGCACATCATGTATGATTTTCTATAATTCCGTTAGATTCACTGTAATTTTGGGGGGTGTCCTGTGGAATGGGTCTTCTGTGTCCCTGCATGTTCAGCTATATCTGTGTGGTGCCACTTACACTTAATGAGATGAGATTCCTGCTGCTTGTATCAGGTCACTGGTGATCTCTGAAGCTGCTTCTGGTTTCTGCTTTAATATGTAAAGAGCATGTCAAACATCACCCACATTCTTACAATAATAAAAGCCTGGAAAATTGATTATCAATAATTTCTTGAATCTGTTGAAGAAATGAAATTGCAGGGAAAACCAGGACCCCCAAAACTAGAAAGACATTAAAATAGAGATAATCAGACTGATGGATCAAAGTTCTGTGGCAATAAGATACCAAATTATAAACAAGGCCTAAAGTCATGGATTAAGTCACTCACCCCTACACTTAAAAAAATGACTGTACTGTAACTTCCACAGGGCTTTTTTGTTTTCTGTAGCACCTAAACAAGCACTGGTTCTGAGGTAAGCATATTAAAACATTTGCAGCTCATGGAACTCCAAACGTGGTAACTGACCCTCTCCCACAAGCCATAAATAGAGCTTTGTTTGGACAAGAGACAGATTTCAGTAACTGTCTTCTGAGAAGAGACTACTGACCATGAACTTGTCCTGGCAATTTACAGAGACTGTGCAGTGTGTGTCTTTCTGCCTCTGCACAAAGCCCTTTTGATGAACAGGGCCCGATTGTCATTCATTTAGTTCTTAAGTCCTCATCCCCAAAGCAAACACTAAATGCATGTAACATGTGTGTTTGCTTATTAGACATGACAGCCTGCCCACTATGTGAACATCAACAGATCCTTCTATAGCCTGCTGAGTGTGTACACTTGGCCAATCCATTTGCATGAATTCATTTCTCCTCTTTCCCTCTCTTGAAGTGCCTGCTCACTGTCTCTGTGGGAGGCTTTGCTTCCCAGCCTGTTAAGGTGGCTGTCCTGCAGCTTTAACCATTTCTCAGAAGTAAAGTCTCCTTTCTAAATTTATAAATTATGTGACTGTTCCGTTGAAAGTGCAAGCTGGTGGGAACAGTTACATGGTAATTCGGTAAATTGCTGGTGGACAGGTGTGGACAGGGATAGGGTAAGAACTCCTGGGGGCTGCACACCCCACACTTCGATGGAATTTCCCTCCAGAAACTTCTGGGTTCTCAGGATGATAATCCAAACAGATTCCTTCATGGCTCTGTCATCAGGAGAGCTACTCTCTGATAAATATGCTCAGAACTTCCTCCAGACAGATCCTACAGAGAAAAAATGCTTTTCAAGATCTCTATTCTATGTGAGGGGAAGGTATTCTTTTCCATCCCAGGCAGTTTCATCTTAGCCTTCCTGTGTCATAAAAAGGTCAGGTTCAAGACAATAATATGTGGATGCTGCAGCCAGGAGGGGGGAGTAGAAGACGGAGGAAAATCAGCTGCACCACTGGAGACTCCTTGTAAAGGGCACAGTCTAGAGAAAAAACATCAAGAAAACATTGAAATTCAATTTCCAGTACATATACTGCTCCCCTGCCCACCACATCACCTCTTCACCAGTATGATCAATCTGGATTAAAGAGAAAAGTGTGGCAATGCACAGACTCTGTCCAAGGACTAGACCTTAGGGAAACCAAAGGCAGAGGGAGAGGAAAAGTTAAGGACAGTGAAGCGGTTTAAAGCCTCTGAGACCAACAGCTTCAGGACCAAGGCCACGGCCCCTCTGTCAATGGCCTTAGATTTACCTCTCACGGGGCATCCACAGGGTTCCCAGGTGAGAACAGGCAAAAACAAGGTGAAGACACTTTCCAAATCTCCAGCAGTACTGAGCTTGCTTTAGCTCTGTTTGAAGAAACAAAACAACAACAACAAACAACAACAACCGCAAATATAACCAGGATTAAGGTCAGCGTTGGAAGCACTTTTATTAATTTTTTTAAATTTTTTATTTCTCAGATGGGGTCTTGCTCTGTCTCCCAGGCTGGAGTGCAGTGGTGCGGTCTCGGCTCTGCAACCTCCACCTCCTGGGTTCAAGCAATCCTCCACCCTAGCCTCCCAAGTAGCTGGGATTACAGGTGCATGCCACGGCGCCCAGTTAATTTTTGTATTTTTTAGTAGAGACAGTGTTTTGCCATGTTGGTCAGGCTGGTCTCGAACTCCTGACCTCAGGTGATCCGCCCAAATTGGCCTCCCAGAGTCCTGGGATTACAAGTTAATTGAGTTAATAAAGCTGTTCTGAACTATGAAAAACATTAGTTTGCTCCCAGATTTTCTTGATTTCAGTTTGATTATTATATTCAGCTGCTGCCCTAATATGTTTGAGCATGTTACTATTTAAATGACCCTGGCTGTTTGATTTGTTATATATAAATCTAAACTAAAACAACTTAAAGGACAGGTTTGTACTATTATTAGGATGAGATATTCTGGGTGCCCCTCATTTGCTCCATGAACCTCCACATTTTTAATTTAGAATTCACATAAATTCCTTGTGAGTTGTGTCAGTCATCGAGAGACCTAATCTCTAACACCTTTACCCAGAACCTTCTCCAGATAGACCACCCACAGGAAGAACATTTATAGTAATTTATCTACATGGTGGAAGGTACTTCACTGCCATTGTAGAACCCTCTTCCCAGCCTTCCTTTATGAGGCAAATGATTGCCAGTATGGTAAGATTGAACAAAAGGATGTGCCAGTAGGGTAAGATTGAGCAAAAATAGTCCTGAGATGCTGCAGACAGGGAAGGACGTAATAGACAAATATCAGCTTTATTAGAGGAGACTCCTTGTAAAGGTCATAGCCAAGAAAAAGAAGACAAAATCACTGAGATTAAATTCTAAGAATCTTGGTCCAGTTCAATCAAGCCATCAACAGCCAGGTGGCTTCAGTGGCCACTATGCATATTACCCCATGCCTAAATGTTCTGGCTTGTACAAAGAGCTTCTCTGTAAATTGCACATTGCCATAGTGGAAGATGGCATGGGAGATTTTGTGACAAACACTTAAGGTGCAATAATAGCTATTTTTCCTTTATCATGACAATATGTGGCATGCTTCTAGATTCATTTCATGCCAAAGAAGTTCCTCAGAAGGGTAAGGAAATGGAGAATCTTACATGGTCCAATGCAGTCCCCAAGAAGGGACTTTGAATGGACAGTTACACTGGTTACTACAATGTTGTCTCTGACCTTCTCAGGATCGAAGATAGTCATGAGTATCAAGGTGGAGATGGGTCTAGGTGAGAGAAAAGGAAGTAGTGGTTCTTGAGAAGAATGGTATGGCCAAGATAAGCCTGAACTATCTCTCCTCTTCCAGTTCCTGCAACTTCATATTGCCTGATTGAGGTCACTTGCCTATGGTGGTAATGACATCAGCAATGCAATAAATTCTCTGGTGGCTTTATATCTGGTTTATAACATGGGAGATGTTTCCTCAAGAGTGGTGATGCCAGTGTGGCTTCTGCTCTCTGGTGGTGTTGGAATCTGCATTAGTCTGTGGGTTTGGAGGAAGGAGATTCAGGCCATGGGGAAGAATCTGACACTCTCACACCCTCTGGTGCCTTCGGTACTGGACTGGCTCCTGCCCTCACTATGGTGATTGCATCAGATATTGGCCTCCCCACCAGTACAACACGTTGTAACATGGGCTCCTTTGTACCTGGCTTTAATCCAAGAAAGTTGTCGACTTGACTCTTTCGTGACATTGTATAGCCTGGTTTGTCACAATCTTTATTTCTGGAATTATCAGTGCTGCCATCTTGGCTGTCTTCAAGTATGTCATCCTCACAGTGTGAAGCTGTTTGACATTAACATTTTTGTCAATGTTTGGGACTACCTTACATATTCCGGCTCAGTTCAAAATGAGCTATGTAATGTAGCCAGGTTTCCACTGAGTTCCACTTTGCTTCTTGGCTGTCTATTCCTGCGCAAGTTTCTATGTATTTTGTATCAGGCTTCAATTCCATTATGTTTAAAATGTTGTCTCTAAAGATAAACAAAGATTTTTTTAAAACAACCAAACATGCAGCCATTTGACCGAGTGTGGTCTGCATTGTTAGTCTCACCATCTTCTGCCCTAACAAGCACCGAATCTAACAACACAAATATCATGGAAGCTTTCCTTGGAGTAGCTCCTGTAATTAGAATCATTGTATTCTGCCCTCCTGTCAGTGGTGGAACGTTCTATTGGCACATGTGGAAACCTCTTAGAGGGACGAGTTTCTTTGAACACAATAAAATTTTAAGTTAGGAATAACTTATTTGAAAGCAATTCATTGAAGGTTATTGCTAAGAAGAAGTTAGAAACAGTCTTTTGGCAGTCATTTCTTCAAGATGTATGGCAGTGTGGGAGGGATATATAAAGTGGAATAGGAACTTGGGCTAGTTAAATGGAATAGCCTCCAATGTTAATCTGTTTACCTTTTAACTGAATGAAAAAGCCTATAGTTGTAAGAAAAGAAAAAAAACACAATCCTCACACATTCCCTTCCCATCAGCATTGAAGATGAGTGTGGCAATGCAGAGACTCTATATAGGGAGGAGAACATAGGGAAATGCAAAGACAATGGGAGAAAAAAGTCAAGGACAGTAGAGCAACTGGAAGCTTCTGACACCAACAGCTTGATGAACAGGGTCACTCAACCCTTGGTGGACACAGAGTCACTTCTCTTAGGGAAACTGCAGTATTCTCAGGTGACAATATGCAAACATGATGAATGTACACTTGCTACGTCTCCAGTTGTGTACTGTTTTCCTTACTTCTGTTTGGAGAAGGAAGTCATATACTCAGGTCTAGTATCCGTGTAGAGGGTGCTCACCATTTGCAAGATACTAGGAAAAATGGCAAGTTAGAGGCCCACTGTTGTAAAAATCAACCAGTTCTGTGTGTGTGTGTGTGTGTGTGTGTGTGTGTGTGTGTGTGTGTGTTATTGAAAAAGAAGACATGGAGTGGGCATTGATCCACAAGTATATATACCTACAGGTATTCTTAGATGTAATATTCAATTGCAGGAGACCAAACAAGATAAAGCATCCCCCAAAACCCTTGAAAATTTTTGTGCTCACTATGTGTCCACTGATTAAATGTATCCTGAGCTCCAGGGAAGGGCTCCCCGATGGTTTCTTAGAGTTCACTGGGTCTCCTAAGGTCAATGTTTTCAAAAGATGGTGTCAGTAACATATGGTGTCACTGAAGGAGCATTTTAAACTAGGGCATGACCTCTTCCTATAGCCCTAGAGACACTGAGAGAGAAATCCTCTGTGAGCCCAGATGGAAACCTCCATGCAGGGCAGAGGCAGTGCTGCAGGGGGCGCCCAGGACCCACCCAGAACAGGCTCCAGCCCCAGAGCTGGTGCACAGGAGGCTGCAGAGGGGATTTCTCCCAGAATTGAGTGTTGTTTTATTGAAAACCAAAAAATTATAACATGTTAAAATTAGAATTTTGCAAAGACTATTTCTATTATCTCTATACATTTAGAAATAAACAAATCAACAATTCAGTGAGAACCACATTTAAAAGGCAAAATTGTTACTTGTTTGAGATATTTTCCTAGTAAAAAGATGAAGAACAGGGATGGTTTTATTAAATCAAAAGGTACACATTTCAGAAGACACAGAGATCCCAAGAGTAAGACTGCAGACAGCAAAGCCTAGAAAGGGCGGAGGCTGTCCATGTGCCATGTCCTGTGTGAGTCACCTTCTTAGTGGAGAAGTTCTCCCTTCACAAAGTTTTGGGCATATAAAGGGAAACACGACATTAAATAAGAACGAGGACTTGTACCTCAGCATCCCACAGTTGTGTGGTTCATGTGAGATCTATTTTCTCTTTCTCATGCTGGATCAAGGGTAAGGCTATGAAGTAGTAGTTCTCGTGAATATGCAAATCACCTGAGGTGAACACTACAGATATGTCTGTGCCCTGAGAGCATCACCCAATAACCACACACCACAAAGACACTCGCTGAGAAGAGCAACCCTAAGACACATAATTGTCAGATTCACCAAGGTTGAAATGAAGGAAAAAGTTTTAAGGGCAACCAGAGTTGTGCCATGGCACAGTGTTGTGCCATGTCCTTTCTCTGTTTTCTTGCCTGTTTATTTATGTCAGATGTGCCACCTACATGGAATAAGGTCAGAATTCTGCCTCCAGTAACACATCAAAGGTGACCTTTGATTGTACTTTTGGTTTATGCTCCAAAATATTGATTATAAAATTCATCACCGTCATATTTTATGTCAAAATAAATCTGCATAATCTGAATGTCAGTACATTTTGGAATCTATTAAATAACTGAAATTGCAAGAAATATTACCCACTCCAAAAACTGGAGAGATGGGCATGTCCAGAATGGCAGTTAGCACTTGCTTACCTGGTGCAGAAACTGCAGAAGCCACAAGCTGTTGAGGGCACTTACATGGTAACCACTACGGACGTCTGAAAGACAAATGTGGACTCGGTAAATGTGACCGTTCCAGAGGGTCTTATACTTCTAAGGTTTCTGGACTTTCTCTCCAGAAACCTCCAGATTCTAAAATATACAATCCAAATAAATTTCCGATGGGTCAGAATTGAAGATGAAATGAAGATGATTAATTACAGAGAAATATACCAGGAGCCCACTTCAAAAGCTTCTAAAGGGAATGACTTTTCCAGAACCTTATCCTATGTGAAGGAAGACAAATCTCCCATTCCAGATTCTCCCCCATTCTTCCATTATTATATGAATGAGTAAAGTTAGCCAAAAGGGGTAAGACGTACATAAATAGTCCAGGGAGGCCGAAACCTCAAAAGGGAGTAACAGCCAAAAATGAGCTTTTCCCCTGGAGATGCTTTGTCAAGGTCACAGCCCAGAAGAGGAAGCCTATTGAATCTCTAGGTTTCCATTGGAAGAACAGGCAGTGCTTACCTGCACTGCACAATCCATTCTAACTAGGATGATGGCTATGGATTAAAGATGAAAGTGTGGCAATGCACAGACTCCATCTGAGGAGAACACAGAAATACTAAGACAATGGCAGAGGGTGAGACAAAGACAGTAGAGCAATGTGAAGCCTCTGACATCGTGATTTTTAAGACCAACATCTTGTAAATGCCATCATAGTTCTCAGCTTCTTTTATTATGGGACCTTTGCTGGTTTCCTAGCTGAGAAAGTGAAAATAACAACCTGCATGGACTTCCCAAGTCTCCACCTGTATCCTGTTTGCTTTAGATCTCTAGGAGAAGAAAGTCAGATAACTGGGCCTGGTGTCAGTGTAGGAGGCACTTCCTAAAAGCCACATATTAGGAAGAAGGGAAAATGTGTGTTATTGGAATAGTGGATATGGAGTGGGCTTTCATCTGAATGTATCTGCACCTGCTAGTATTCTCAGATGCAACATTCAACTGCAAGAGCCCAGTGAAGAAACATGGCACTCGCAAATCTCTTGTAAGTTTTTGTCTTCATTTTGGTTCCACTAATGAAGTGAATCTGGAGCTTCAGGGAAGGGGCTCCCTCCTGTGTCATTGAATCCTTGCTCTGGGTCTCCCTGCAGAGTTCAATAGGTTTAGTAAGGCTAATCAATTGTTTCAAGAGATGGTGTCAGCAGCATATGGTGTCACTGAAGGAGTATTCTACACTAGCACACAGCCATTTCATGCTGGGCTAGAGAAGCCTGGGGGAAATGATTTGAAGTCTCAGCAAGGAACCTCCTTGCAAGGCAGGGGCTGGGCTGTCGGGGGCACCGAGCAGGTGAGTCAGAAATCAATATGTAAAGATGAGGACCTATGGATATGAATTGAAAATATATAAATACTTCAAAAAATTCCAGTAAATTGAGTCCAAAATTAACCCCAAATTATTCAAAACACAAATTCCTTGACAATTATTTTGGGAGCAGTGAGTTCATAAAGAATTCAAAACTACTGTTTCAGCTTCTGATTCTTATTGTTCCTGAGATGAGAAAATCATCTCTAATCACACATCACACAGCAAATCTGTAAACAAGAGTGTTTCTATGGAAGATCCTGGGGGATCTGAACACCAGGCAGGTGCTGGAGACCCTGTTTCAGGAGCGCCCAGCAGATCTCAGAGGGACCTGCTGGTCACTCACGTGGGACATCAGCAGTAACTTTCTCAGTCACCAGTCAGCTGTGCTGGTGACTGATGGACCCAGGACAGAACCAAGGCACCTCCTCAGTGTCATGGAGAGTGATGGTTCCAGAAATCATCCAGGTGCTCTCTGTGCTTATAAAATGTAGGTTCACTGTGAGGAGCGTGTTCTGAGGGGGATTGTTCTGTGAAAGGACCTCTGTTCACGAGTGTTCATAAATGGAGCAGGGCATGCATTTCCTCAAACAGGAATAGCGCTTGGACCATCAGCATCTCACTCTTGTAAATCTGATGTGTCATTTATCTTCCCTTTCTTATTATTGACCAGGCTTTGCGCTATGAAATGCTCTGTCTCATGAATATGCAAATAACCTGAGATCCACTGAGGTGAATTTGGATGTCTGTGCCCTGAGAGCATCACCCAACAACCACATCCCTCCTCTATAGAAGCCCCTGAGAGCACAGCTCCTCACCATGGACTGTACCTGGGGGATCCTCTTCTTGGTGGCAGCTGCCACAGGTAAGGGGCTCCCAAGTCCTAGTGATGAGGAGGGGATTGAGTCCAGTCAAGGGGGCTTTTATCATCTCCTCCCTTCTCCTCACAGATGTCCATTCCCAGGTTCAGCTGTTGCAGCCTGGGGCTGAGGTGAAGAAGCCTGCGTCCTCAGTGAAGGTCTCCTGCCAGGCTTCCAGATACACCTTCACCAAATACTTTACACAGTGGGTGCGACAGGGCCCTGGACAAGGGCATAGTGGTTGGGATGCATCAACCCTTACAATGATAACACACACTACGCACAGAAGTTCCGGGGCAGAGTCACCATTACCAGTGACAGGTCCGTGAGCACAGCCTACATGGAGCTGAGCAGCCTGAGATCTGAAGACATGGTCGTGTATTCCTGTGTGAGAGACACAGTGCGAAAACCCACATCCTGAGAGTGTCAGAAACCCCAGGAAGGAGGCACCTGTGCTGACACAGAGGAGATGACAAAGATTATTAGATTAAAGATTTTCTTAGAAAATGACACTAAGTCATTAAAGAAAAGGAACAATATTAATGTGTATTTGAGAAATTTTAATTATTTGAGAGATTTTTCATACAGCATTTATTCTGTAAACAAATTTCAATGATTACAGAATGAATCAAATTAATGAAACTAATACAGAACTTCCTCTGAAGGTATCTTTGTAAACATTAATTTCTTAATCAGTGCTGTAAGTATTTTGGAACACAGACACAAAATCACATTTTAAGTCTGCATTTATGTCTATTAAAAATGCCAAAAAAATCTCCTTTTGTGCATGTAGCATTTTGAATTCCCACCATCAATGCATGATAGTTCTTGGTTTTCCACATTCATATTGTCATGTATCCTTACGAGAATTGTGTGTTTTAACCAATCTAGTAGGTGAGTAATGGGATCTAATTTTTATTTAAATGCACATGTCCCTCCAAAAGTTCATATTTAACAATTTTCGTATAACTTCTGTTGAGACGCCTCTCCTGACATTCGGTTCATTTTAACTGCATTGCTTCATTTCGATTCATTGCAAGTTGACTTGCATATTGTTTATAAAAGTCATTTCACAAATTAAAAGAATTCATTTCACAAATATGTGACTTGGAAGTATTTTCTCCAAGTCTGTGGCTGTCTTTATTCCCTTATCAGTGTGTATTGCAGAAACATATGTGTGTGTATGTGTCTGTGTGTGTATGTGTCTGTTTGTACAAATTTAGACTCAAAAACATGTAAAATTGCATTCATTCATAGATGATGTATTTGGCAATATATATGAAGTCTCATTATAAAATACACTAATAGTGATTATTTTTTCCATGTCTCTCAACTCAGGCCACAATCAACTCATGAGTGTTTAAACTTCATCTACTTGATTGGAGGACTATCCATTTCAGATATTTGGAATACTTCTGTAAGGAAATGTGTTCGTCTTCCCAATATTTATTTATATAATCATCTATTAATATGTGTATTGGTTTATGAATATATATTTCATACTCTGAAGAAGATCCATGCTATATTATTCATTTTATCGTTCAAATCACCACAGCTTTATTAGGTCCTGGGAGCTCATTTAATTTGGATCCTGTATCCTTACAGCACACCTCATCCTTTTGTTTTTGAATACTTCCCTGTTTCCTTGTATTACAATAAATTCTAAGCTCATTTTCTATATTACCTTTTTTGTACATAGAATTAGCCTTTTTTCTAAAGATTGCTTGTTTCTAATGTTAACGAATAGCAGTAAAATAAAAAAAATTGTGATACCGTGTACAATTACTTCTAGGACCTCTCAACCTACTGGCCTAGTAGACGTGCATGTTTATATGAACCCATGTTTGTGGACGCATCAAAACTATTTATGTAACTAATCTTCTGTAACTTTATTATATTAAAAATGAGAACACACTGGTCTCCTGACCCAACTATGCTACCACATGGACCTTTCTAGCCTTCCTTCCTTGACTGTCCATAACCACCCACTGCAAAGTGAGGAATCCTATCCTACCAACTGCCTTATTATTACCTAGTTGCACAATTTTAGGACACATGCATAGCGGTATCAGAAATGTAAAGCTCATTGGAAATATGTTTATCTACTAGAATAGAGTGTTATGTGTAGTTTCTTTACATTTTAAACTTATAGAATTTCCTCATTTCCAAAGTTAATTAGATTAGCAACTTCATTTTCTACTTTCTTTAGTGAAGTCATTTCAATTACATTATATAATATCATTTATTTGAAATTCGGTATAAACCAAAACTATAGTCAAGTAAACAGATAGAGGATATTCAAGGAACTTAGAGAGTGAGTATTAAATAAGTACAAATGGCACTGTTTAAGAATAGTAAAATTATTTTTAGTGATATAAAATGGTTGAGACACGATGCAGTTAATTTGTCTAAGCTCATAAATGTGTGATGGAAAATATAAACCTAAATATATACAATTTTTGTAAAAAGTATTTAGCAGTTCATTAACCCCAGGATTAAATGCAGACTGTATCAAGTTATCTAATAACTTATTTGGTGAGGGTGGGGATGTCATGAGATGCATGCAAAAAAGAATGAAGTAATTTTCCTCATTTGCATTTAAGATGTTACCATTCACTAAAGACCTTTAATTTTAAAAAAATCAATTTTCTACGTGACCCAGGTTTTTTCTTCCTGACGAGCAAATAACCCAGATAATTCTTTTCTTTCCTTGGTTGAGAAAGATTTTCCCCAAACTTCAGCTCAGTTCAGGCACACACTGTCCCTGAATGGGCATTTACCCTCAGATGGGTAACACACCTGTCAACATGGGGACTCTTCTGTCAGACAAACACACCTTTACTCACGTGGATTCTTCCCTCAGACCAACACACCTGTCCCCACATGGACTCTTTCCTCAGACCACCACATATGTCCTTACATTTACTCTTTCCTCTAGTAATGACATTTCCTCAAGTGGACTCTTGTCTCAGACAAACAAACATGTCTGCATGTGAACTCTTCACTCTGATAAGTACAAATATTTCCACAGTGACTGTTTCCTGACACAAGCACATATATCCAATGTTGAACTGTTTTATGGCAAAATGATCTCAAGATAATAATTATAAAATCCCTCCTGACAAGGTGTAGATCTGCATTTTTTTATTGTACCTTAACTTTGCCTTATTGTCAAGAACAATAGTTTGCAGCTCTATATGCACCGATTAGAGATTGGTGTCCATTTTCTCTGGAAATGTATTTTTATATTCTTACTGGATGTATTTTTTTGATAATGTTTGCTACTGTGAAGATACCTGAACAGGGTCCACACTAGAAAATAAAAAAGACTAATCGGCAGATTAACCCTGTGCATCCAGACCCACGAGTCCTTTGATCCTGCCCCCCTGAAATGGAGACACAGAGGACAGATGAGCAATGCTGAGCGGTGCACCCAAGACCACAAAAAGAAAGACAAGGAAATGTGTCCCCTCCCCTCCTCATGAAAGGCAGCTCATCCCCTGTTCCTTCAGGCCCTGGTGAGGAGCCAACCCATGTCTGTTCCCTTCCTCGGTGTCCACACCATGGGGTCTGCCCTGATTTGGGCTTCCCTTCTCATCACCCTCAATATTAGTGTCCCTTGTGAATCAGGTCCAGCTGCGGCTGCTCCACATGGGGCCGTTCTTCCATTTCCTCTGTGTTTGCAGAAGTCCTGTGTGAAATTTACTGATAGAGTCAGGGGGGAAAAATTGTACAGCCCAGTGGTTCACTGAGACTCTCATGCAAAGCCTCTGATTTCACCTTTACTGGCTACAGCATGAGCTTGGTCCAGCAGGCTTCATGACAGGGATTGGTGTGGGTGGAAACAGTGAGTGATCAAGTGGGAGTTCTCAGAGTTACTCTCCATGAGTACAAATAAATTAACAGTCCCAAGTGACACCTTTTCATGTGCAGTCTACCTTAAAGGGACCAAACTGAAAGTCAAGGACAAGGCCTTGTAATACTGTGAGAGACACAGGAGAGGGAATATCTGCGTGAGCCCAGACAGAAAAATCTCTGCAGGAAGACAGGAGGGAGCTGCATGGTAGATGCTCCTCAGAACCACCAGGGCACCTTGGGGACAACCTGGGGGCACTCAGAACCACCAGGGTGTGCTTAGGACCACGGGACACTCAGGATATTAGGGGGTGCTCAGGATCACGAGGGGGCGCTCATGACACCAGGGGACACTCAGAATCACAAGGGGGCGCTCAGGACACGAGGGTTTGCCTGGGACCACCAGCAGGCACTCAGGTCACCAGGGGGTGCTCAGGACCACCAGGGGGCGCTCAGGACACCAGGGGGCGCTCAGAACCACCAGGGGGCGCTCAGGACACCTGGGGGCGCTCAGAAGCATCAGGGGTGCTCAGGATATCAGAGTGCCCTCAGTACCACGAGGGGGCGCTCATGACACCAGGGGCACTCAGAACCACCAGGGGGCGCTCAGTACAGGGGGGTTCTCTTAGGAGGCAGCTCCAAATCAGAAGCCTGAGAGGCTGTGGTTTTCTTTTAAACCTTGGTGATTCCCGACCTGGTCAAGCAAAAGTCTTCCCCAGGATCTCTCACCATTTCTTCCTTGTAAGTCCATGATTACTTTTACCTACAAAACATTAACTTAGAACAGGAATTTAATTCAACTTTTAATGCTGCATATTTTCCAAGTAATACTAGCAATGATCTCTCAGGACAATTTTTACAATAGGTTATTTATATATTTTCTTGATTAAAAATAATACTATTATTAAAATAGTAAAGTTATAAAAATCACACCTGTAATCCCAGCACTTTGGGAGGCTAAGGCAGGCAGATCACTTGAGCTCAGGACTTTTAGAACAGCCTGGCAGCACAGTGAGGTCTTTTCTATATATATATATAAAATAATAATAATAATAATAAATACCTGGGTATGGTTCCACCTGTGGTAGCAGCTACTTGAAAGGCTGAGGCAGGAGGATCCCTTAAGCCTGGGAGGTTAATGCTGCAGTGAGCTGTGATTGTGCCACTGCACTCCAGCCTCGTTGACAGAGTGAGACCCTATTTAAAGAAAATGTATATCCTCAATACAAACTGTTTCAATGATTAGAGTTTTGTATTTTTGTGCTGTAATAGTCAAACAATTGTACATGTTTTTTAACATTAACTCAGCATATACATGGTATTTTGTTTATTTTTCTTTCATCTGCTGTTTTTGGAAATTAAACACGACTTTAAATGCTCTTGTTCTCCATTTTGGTTGGCTTCAGGTGTCCTGTTTTTCAGACTATTTCTCCATCTTCCCTTTCTCTTTGAAAGTATTTTACTTTCCTCAGTCTCCATGAAGGAAAAAGAAAGTCCCTTTACTTTCTGACCTCCAAGTCTGGTGAATCAGTTCTCTTCTCTTCATAATCACTGAAGCCAACCAAGTTTAGAGGATAATGGTTCTCCTTAGAATATGCTCGTCTACCTGCAGACTCTCTGCCCTAACTCACCCTTTTCCAGGGTCCTGCAGACCATCTCCTCGTTTCCCTAAGTACCACAGAGTGGGCTCTGCAGCTCCTGCTGCCCTCTGTGTGCTCAGCCCTGGGGCTCACTAGTGTTTTGATGATCAAGTCCAAATCCCCATGTGCTTGGACCCTCTGAGACCACCCTCTAGGAAGATGCCATTGTGAGTGAGCCCTGAAAATCATGGACTGTGTTCAGTTTCATATTCCTGGATGTTCTCTGTTGTAAAGGAATATTGACAAATAAATACTAGAGTTTGTATTGAATATTCATGCCAAAAAAGTTTTTTAAAAATTTTTCAAATGAAACAATTTTATCTTGCCTAGTTTGAAAACTACAATCTAAATTTAACAAATAATGTAATACAACGTTTGTCCTATTAGTTATTCAATTTATTAAAAACAGACTGATATTTAAAGTTAATACCATTGCACATTTGAGTGACATATTTGGCAAGAACAGCATTTACATTCAGCTTTAACAAAACATGTATTTAAATATATTTGTCTTTTTAGTATTGGAATAGGCAGACATACACGTAGAAGAGCATTATTTTCTACTACAACCTCAAACTGCAAACACAATTTAAATTCAATTAAGTAATTAAAAAAATATGAAACAAATGGGTGTGCTGTTTTGGTGTTTAGATATACATTCACTTTTGCATGGGCACATGTATGTGTCTTTGCTGGGCTGTTGTGTATGTATGTGTGTTTGTAGAACCATGAAGTTTTCAAATACATCATTAAATGACATAGTTATATTAATCTTGGCCAGGCATGGTGGCTCAAGCCTGTAATCCCAGCACTTTGGGAATCTTAGGCAGGCAGATCACCTGGGGTCAAGGGTTTGAGACCAGCCTGGTCAACAGGGTAAAACCCCGTCTCTACTAAAAATACAAAAATTAGCCAGGTATTGTGGCACAAGCCTTTAGTCCCAGTGTGGCAGGGAAATGTGGGGTCGGAAATCCCACACAGAGTTTCTACTGGTGTACCACCTAGTGGAGCTGTAAGAAGAAAGCCACTGCCCTCCAGAACCCAGAATGGTAGATCCACTGACAGCTTGCACCATGTTTCTGGAAAAACCACATACCCTCAATGCCAGCTCGTGAAAGCAGCCAGGAGGGAGACTGTGCCCTGCAAAAGTTTTTTAAAACTTTTCATTTGAAAAGTTTTAAAAAAGTTCTGTCACAGGGGCAGAACTTCCCAAGACCATGTGAACCCACTTGTTACATCAGGTAACCTGGATTTGAGACATGGAGTCAAAGAAGATTATTTTGGAACATTAAGATTTGACTTCCCAGCTGGATTTCAGACTTGCATGGGACCTGTAGTTTGGACCAATTTCTCCATTTGGAATGGCTGTATTTACACAATGCCTGAACTCCCATTCTTTCTAGGAAGTAACTGACTTGGTTTTTATTTTACAGGCTCATAGATGGAAGAGACTTGCCTCATCTCAAATGAGACCTTGGACTGTGGACTTTTGAGTTAAGGCTCAAATGAGTTAAGACTTTGGCGGACTCTTGAACAGGCATGATTGGTTTTGAAATGCGATAGCAATCATGACTCTAGAGGACCACACGTGAAGTGCAACAAGCAGGCGCAGAAGACAAGTGATTCGTGATTTCACTGTAGTTTGTTTAAATGGTAGACTCACAGAAGTAGAATAGAATGTTGGTTACCAGGGGCTGGAGGGGTGGACTGGAAAAGGAGAGATTGTGGTCAAAGTGTAAAATGTTCCAGTTAGACAGAAGGAGTAAGTTACAGTGTTCTAATGCACAAGATGGAAAATATGGCTGTGAATGCATTATATATTTCAAAATGGCTAAACATGCAAATGTTAAAATTTTTTCCCACTAAGAAATTATACAGGTCGGGAGCGGGGGCTCACACTTGTAAACCCAGCACTTTCGGAGGCCGAGGTGGGTGGATCACAAGGTCAGGAGTTCAAGACCAGACTTGCCAAGATGGTGAAACCCTGTCTCCACTAAAAACACAAAAATTAGCCAGGCGTGGTGTTCACCACAGGAGAATTGCTTGAAGCAAAGGCTGCAGTGAGCCAAGATCGTACCACTGCACTCCAACCGGGGTGACAGAGTGAGACTCAGTCTCAAAAAAAAAAAGAAATACATTTATGAGGTGCTGGATATGTTAAATAGCTTGATTAACAATTCCATAATGTATGCATGTATGATAGCATGTGTGAATGGACCTGTATGAAGGTGAGGTGCCCTGGTCACGTGACAGTGAGGTGACTTGGGGGAGGTGTAAGGTTACCTGGGGGTATGTGTGCAGTGAACTTGGGCACATGTGAGGTGACCCAGGGTGCATGTGTGGTGGCCTGGGTGCGTGTGAGGTTACCTGGACATGTATGAGGTGACATGGGGAATTCGTGAGGTGACTTGGATATGTATGATGTGACCTCAGGCATGTGTGAGGTGACCTGGCGGACGTGTGAGGTGACCTGGGGGACGTGTGAGGTGACATGGGGAATGTGTGAGGTGACCTGGGGGAATGTGTGAGGTGACCTGGGAGCATTCGAGGTGACGTGGGGGGTGTGTGAGCTTAGCAGGAGTGTGTGTGAGGTGACATGGGGTATATGTGAGGTGACCCCCCTGACGTGTGAGGTGACCTGAGCACATGTGAGGTCACCTAAGGCACATCTGAGTTGACCTGGGGGATGTGTGAGGTGACCTAGGGAAATGTATGAGCTGACAAAGGGCATGTGTGCAGTGACCTGGGTGCATGTGAGGTGACCTGGTGCATGTGTTAGTTTACCTGGGGGATGTGTGAGGTGAACAGGGGCAGGTGTGAAGTGCCTGAGGAATGCATGAGGTGACCTGGTGCATGTGTGTGGTGACCTAGCAGATTTACGAGGTGACCTGCGGGATGTGTGAGGTGAATAGGGACTTGTGTGAGGTGGCCACAGGAATGTGTGAGGTGACCTGGGGGATGTGTAAGGTGACATTGGGGATGTGTGAGGTGACTCAGGGCACATGTGAGGTGACCTGGGGGATGTGCAAGGTCACCTTGGGTGAGTGTGAGGTGACCTTGGGGATGTGCAAGGTCACACTGTGTGAGTGTGAGGTCATCTGGGATATTTCAAACTTCGTAAGGAAAGCCTGCAACAGTATATGGCACTAAAAGCTTCACACTCCAACACCGTTAATGCGCACATCCTCAAGGAACTCTAAGTGTTTCCAGGTTAGCTTAAATGCCATGGAGCGACACCTGCCCCAGGCACACTCATATATGCATCCTGGGTCTCCCTATCAACCCCTATCCTCAAATTTTCAGTTTATGTTTGCTCCATGATATCAACTCTGATATGTTGAAGGTTTTTTTTTTTCTTTTATTTGTAGTTGTTCAGGTTTGCTATTTCACTCTCATTACTCTGGGCTCAGTCCTCTCCTCAGGTGTCCCACTTCAGAGCTTGCTATATAATAGGAGACATGCAAATAGGACCCTCCCTTTTCTGATGAAAAGCAGCGCAGCCCTGACCCTGCAGCCCTGGGAGAGAAGCCCCAGCCCTGGGATTCTCAGGTGTTTCTATTGGGTCAACAGCAATAAACAAATTACCATGGAATTTGGGCTGAGCTGGGTTTTTCTTGCTGGTATTTTAAAAGGTGATTCATGGAGAACTAAGGATATTGAGTGAGTGGACATGAGTGAGAGAAACAGTGGATATGTGTGGCAGTTTCTGACCAGGGTGTCTCTGTGTTTGCAGGTGTCCAGTGTGAGGTGCAGCTGGTGGAGTCTGGGGGAGGCTTGGTACAGCCTGGGGGGTCCCTGAGACTCTCCTGTGCAGCCTCTGGATTCACCTTCAGTAACAGTGACATGAACTGGGCCCGCAAGGCTCCAGGAAAGGGGCTGGAGTGGGTATCGGGTGTTAGTTGGAATGGCAGTAGGACGCACTATGTGGACTCCGTGAAGCGCCGATTCATCATCTCCAGAGACAATTCCAGGAACTCCCTGTATCTGCAAAAGAACAGACGGAGAGCCGAGGACATGGCTGTGTATTACTGTGTGAGAAATCCTGTGAGGGGACACAAGTGCGAGCCCAGACACAAACCTCCTGCAGGAACACTGGGCGAAATCAGCTGCAGGGGGTGCTCAGGGCCCACTCATCAGAGTCAACCCCAGAGCAGGTGCACATGGAGGCTGGGGTTTGTTTCCTGTCAGGATTTGGGACTTCCTCTGCTTCTGACAGTTTCCCTAGGGAAACTCTTTAATTTTAGATTTCTGTGCCCACCAATGTCATCTCTACATATATTTTTTTAAATCATTATAATACGAGGACTCATTCTCACATGCACAATATGTATATTGCCACCTACGGGAATGAAAACTCCTCAACCATGGTCACCAGCATCAGAGTTGTGAGGAAGCTCAGGGGTGCCTGGTGAGTCTTCTCCAGTCAGACTCAGGACAGTAACCTCAATGGGATTCCCTGACTAGAATGGCTTTTAGGGATTTCGATTACAGCCAAGAGAGAGGCTGGACCAGGTTCAGTGTCATGTAGGACCTCACAGATTTTATGTATGACATTTCTCCTGACAATAAAGTATGCAAATGAGTATCAGCACTGATCTGGTGCTTCCTGACTTTCATTTTTAGTGGTTCTCGCTTTTCCATTTGATTTTCCTGCTTTCTGGATAAAAGGATGTTGTCCCTGTGGTCTAAATCCTGGGGCTCAAGCCCTTTCCCTGGAGCTTAGGTGGGGCTCAGGCTGTGACTCCTGCAGCCATTGGGAGAGGCTGCTGAGACTTTCTTCTCTCTCATTGTTCAGGATACTCCACTCTGTTTTCTGGAGACGCGTCTGAGAACGCGTGTGGCCATTAGTAATGAGGGCACAAGCTTCTTTGGTCAAAATGGGGTGAGGATGTGGAATTGATCCTGTGCTGTGTAAACTGTCACAGAGTCACCTTCTTCACCAGTAGTGTTAGAAGAGCTTGTAAAATTTGTCGGAATCCAACTGGAGTCCCCTGTGTTCAAACCCTGACAAATGGAGCTGGGGAAGGCCATGGATGGAAGCTTCTCATGCACATACCCCTGAGAACAAGACCTAGCTTTATAACACTCCAAAAAACCACAAATTGAACAAAGGCAACCACAACAATAAAAGAATTACTTATATCCCTGAGAACAAGAGCTAGCTTTATAACACTCAGAATAACCACAACAACAAAATAATTACTTATATCCCTAACAACAAGAGCTAGCTTTTTAACACTCGGAAAGGCCACAATCTTGCACAAGGCAACCACAACAATGAAAGAATTACTTCTGTGAAAATATCTGCACAGCAACTGCCTATCCAACCTTACACTGATGTCAACCTTGTTATTGATGCTTCTAGCCCAGGATCGTCCTCATCAAAATGTCATTCAGATCCTGCGTATGAAAAAAATTGTGTTTTTCAGTGCACTCATGTTCTAGTAAAGCCCTCAGAGACCCTCTCCTTCACCTGTGCTGTCTCTGGATTTCCAATCATAACCAGTACTTCCTCCTGGAGCTGTATCTGCCAGCCCCCAGGGAAGAAGCTGAAGTGGGTCAGGTGTGTAGGTCACGAGGAAACACACAGTGCAACCCGCTTCTCAAGAGTCCAGTCACCACCTCCAGATCCACATTCAGAAAACAGTTTTTCCTACAGCTGAGCTACCCGCACAATGAGTAAACCACCATGGATTTTTATACAAAAGACACAGAAGGGGAGGTCATTGTGAGGCCAGACACAAACCTCCCTGCAGGGAAGCTCAGGACACCAGGGGGTGCTCAGACACCAAGGGCTCTCAGGACACATCAAGGCAGGTGCAAGAGGGGAAAAAAGGTGCTGGAGGTGGGGTTTTTCATCACTGTCATATTTTACTCTCCACTATATTTATTCTAATGTATATTATTTTATTATTAGACAATGATATTTATATAAATATATAGCCATACGTAGGTGCACCAAGTTGTCCTTTCCATCTTATGTGGACCTTGTCCATTAGGACGAAGTCCCTGTATGTATTTGAGCACCTCATAAGTTATGGTTAATTATGTAGGATCTCTCACTTTTTCTGTGTCCCTTCCTCCCTCCTCTCTCACACACAAACTGACACCCACAAAGAGTTCTACAACTTTAATTACCTGATGCGTTGAAGAAAATTTACTGAAGTGCAGCTTTTTCAGTTTAACTGCTGTTCATGTTGATGTAGGAATAAGAACATTGTCTTTCTCAACTGTGTAGTTCTCTAAGCTGAGTAGCACCTTTATTTATAATACCCAGATACTGAAAGCAATCCAAATATTGATCAGCAGGTTAAGCAGTAAACACTTTGTTCTAAATTCGTTCACTTGAATAATACCCACTGTTCAAACAAGTACGGCTGGAAATGCTCAACAAGGGTAAATTCACAAGTACTTATGACGAGTAACATAAGCCAAAGAAATACAAGTACATACATACAGTTCCACTTTTATAAATTTTATAAAATGAAAACTAATCTAAAGTTACATAATGAAAACCAGTAGTTGGCCGTGGACATGGTATGAGAAGGGAAGGTGTAGCAAGTGGAAATTACAGGACAACGAGAGGAAATTTTGAGGATAATTTTTTCTGTATTGAGAAAGGTTATGGTTATGTCATTATTTGTCAAATTGTACACATTAAGTGAAGATTATTACTTTCTAATTTCGACTTCTTAAAATACTACAAATTTAAACATATATAATTTGGTAGAAAAGGAGTTAGAGATGGATAAAATATATGAGAAATAAAAAAGAAAATCTCAGAACGATGGCATAAGGATTCAACCATCAAACTAAATAAATTTTAAATTTCTCAACACAGAATTATAGATTCATAAAACCAGCTCCTGGATTCATTGATTTTTTGGAATTGATTTTCATGTCTTTATCTCCTTCAGTTCTGCTCTGATGTTAGTTATTTCTTCTCTTCTGCTAGCTTTTGAATTTGCTCTTGCTTCTTTAGTTCTTCAAATTGTGATGTTAGGGTGTCAGTTTTAGATCTTTCCTGCTTTCTCTTGTAGACATCTAGTACTATAAATTTCCCTCTACACACTGCTTTAAATGTGTCCCGAAGATTCTCAGATGTTGTGTCTTTGTTCTCATTGGTTTCAAAGATCATCTTTATTTCTGCCTTCATTTCTTTATTTACCCAGTAGACATTCAGGAACAGGTTTTCCAGTTTCCATGTAGTTGTGCAGTTTTGAGTGAATTTCTTCATCCTGAGTTCTAATTTGATTATTGCACTTGTGGTCTGACAGACTGTTTGTTATGATTTCTGTTCTTTTGCATTTGGCGAGGAGTGTATTACTTCCAATTATGTGGTCAGTTTTAGAATATGTGCGATGAGGTGCTGAGAAGAATGTATATTCTGTTGACTTGGGGTGGAGAGTTCTGTAGATATCTATTAGGTCTGCTTCAAGTCCTGAATATCCTTGTTAATTTTCTGTCTCGTTGATCTGTCTAATATTGACAGCGGGGTGTTAAAGTCTCCCACTCTTGTTGTGTGGGAGTCTAAGTCTCTTTGTAGGTCTCTAAGGACTTCCTTTATGAATCGGGGTGCTCCTGTATTTGGTGCATATATATTTAGGATATTTAGCTCTTCTTGTTGCATTGATCCCTTTACCATTATGCAATGCCTTTCTTTGTCTCTTTTGATCTTTTTTGGTTTAAAATGTTTTATCAGAGATTAGGATTGCAACTCCTGCTATTTTTTTTTTTTGCTTTCCATTTGCTTAGCAAATATTCCTCCATCCCTTTATTTTGAGCCTATGTGTGTCTTTGCACATGAGATGGGTCTCCTGAATACAGCACATCAACAAAATAAATAGACAGCTATCCAGATTAATAAAGAAGAAAAGAGAGAAGAATCAAATAAATGCAATAAAAAGTAATGTAGGGGATATCACTACTGATCCCACCGAAATACAAACTACCATCAGAGAATACTATAAATGCCTCTATGCAAATATACTAGAAAATCTAGAAGAAATGCATAACTGCCTGGACACATACACCGTCCCAAGTCTAAATCAGGAAGAAGTCAAATCCCTGAATAGAACAATAACAAATTCTGAAATTGAGGCAGTAATTAATAGCGTACCAACCAAAAAAAAAGTCCGTGACCAGATGGATTCACAGCTGAATTCTACCAGAGGTACAAAGAGGAACTGGTACCATTCCTTCTGAAACTATTTCAAACAATAGAAAAAGAGGGACTCCTCCCTAACTCTTTTTATGAAGCCAGCATCATCCTGATACCAAAACCTGGCAGAGACACAACAAAAAAAAGAAAAGCTCAGGCCAATATCCCTGATGAACATCAATGCACCAATTCTCAATAAAATACTGGCAAACCAAATCCAGCAGCACATCAAAAAGCTTATCCACCACGATCAAGTGGGCTTCATCCCTGGGATGCAAGGCTGGTTCAACATATGCAAATCAATAAATGTAATCCATCACCTAAACAGAAGCAATGACAGAAACCACATAATCATCTCAAAAGATGCAGAAAAGGACTTCAACAAAATTCAACACCCCTTCATGCTAAAAACTCAATGCTCTAGGTATTGATGGAATGTATCTCAAAATAATAAAAGCTATTTATGGCAAACCCACAGCCAATATCATACAGAATGGGCAAAAACTGGAAGCATTTACTTTGAAAACCAGCACAAGACAACGATGCCTCTCTCACCACTCCAATTCAACATAGTATTGAGAGATCTGGCCAGGGTAATCAGGCAAGAGAAAGAAATAAATTGTATAAAAATAGGAAAAGAGGAAGTCAGATTGTCTCTGTGTGCAGATGACATGATTGTATATTTAGAAAACCCCATCATCTCAGCCCAAAATCTCCTTAAGCTGATAAGCAACTTCAACAAAGTCTCAGGATACAAAATCAATGTGCAAAAATCACAAGCATTTCTATAACCCAATAACAGAAAAACAGAGAGCCAAATCATGAGTGAACTCCCACTCAAAATTGCTACAAAGAAAATAAAATACCTAGGAATAGAACTTACAAGGGATGTGAAGGATCTCTTCAAGGAGAACTGCAAACCACCGCTCAAAGAAATAAGAGAGGACCCAAACAAATGGAAAAACATTCCATGCTCATGAATAGGAAGAATAAACATCATGAAAATGGCCATACTGCCCAAAGCAACTTATAGATTGAATGCTATCCCCATCAAACTACCAATGACTTTCTTCACAGAATTGGAAAAAACTATTTTAAAGTTCATATGGAACCAAAAATACATCCTGCATAGCCATGACAATCCTGAGCAAAAAAAAAAAAAACAAAGCTGGAGGCATCATGCTACCTGACTTCAAACTATACTACAAGGCTACAGTAACCGAAACAGCATGGTATTGGTACCAAAACAGACATATAGACCAATGGAACAGAGCAGAGGCCTCACAAATAACACCACACATCTACAACCATCTGAACTTTGACAATCTTGACACTAACAAACAATGGGGAAAGAATTCCGGAACTATTTAATAAGTGGTGTTGGGAAAACTGGCGAGCCATATGCAGAAAACTGAAACTGGACCCCTTCCTTACACCTTATACAAAAACTAACTCAAGATGGATGAAAGACTTATCCAGACCTGAAACCATAAAAATCCTAGAAGAAAATCTAGGCAATACCATCCAGGACATAGGCATGGGCAAAGACTTCAAGTCTAAAACACCAAAAGTAATGGCAACAAAAGCTAATACTGACAAATGAGATATAATTAAAGGAAAGTGCTTCTGCACAGCAAAAGAAACTATCATCAGAATGAACAGGCAACCTACAGAATGGGAGATTTTTGCAATCTATCCATCTGACAAAGGGCTAATATCCAGAATCTACAACAAATTTACAAGAAAAAAAAACCCATCAAAAAGTAGGTGAAGGATATGAACAGACATTTCTCAAAAGAAGACATTTATGCAGCCAGCAAACATGAAAAAACCCTCCTCATCACTGGTCATTAGAGAAATGCAGATCAAAACCACAATGAGATACCATCTCACACCAGTTAGAATGGTGACCATTAAAAAGTCAGGAAACAACAGATGCTGGAGAGGATGTGGAGAAATAGTAACATTTTTACACTGTTGGTGGGAGTGTAATTAAGTTCATCCATTGTGGAGGACAGTGTGGCGATTCCTCAAGGATCTAGAACTAGAAATACCATTTGACCCAGCAATCCCATTACTTGGTATGTACCCCAAGGATTATAAATCATTCTACTACAAAGACACATTGGGGCACCATTCCCAATAGCAAAGACTTGAAACCAACCCAAATGTCCATCAATAATAGACTGGATAAAGAAAATGTGGCACATATACACCATGGAATACTATGCAGCCATAAAAAAGGATGAGTTCATGTCCTTTGCAGGGACATGGATGAAGCTGGAAACCATCATTCTCAGCTAACTAACAGAAGAACAGAAAACCAGACACCACTGTTCTCACTCGTAAGTGGGAGTTGAACCATGAGACCAGGTGGACACAGGGAGGGGAATATCACACACTGAGGCCTGTTGGGAGGTAAAGGGCTAGGGGAGGGATAGCATTAGGAGAAATACCTAAGGTAGACGGCAGGTTGATGGGTGCAGCAAACCACCATGGCGTGTGTATACCTATGTAACAAAACTGCACATTCTGCACACGTACCCCAGAACGTAAAGTATCATTTAAAGAAAGGATTACATATTCCATTAAATATATATGAGAAATCAGAGACTCCTGAATATACACATGAATACACACTGGGTCTACCTATATTTTTAGGGAAACACTAGAATACAGCAAAATAATGTCATGATTTTATTAAAAATGGGGGTTTATCAAACCACACCAGGCATGTCCAGCTCTGTCCTGGAGCTGGTTCAGGGAACAGGTGGGTCCTGTGTTTGGGAGCCATGACAACAAGCTCACAGCGTCAGTTCTAGTTGAAACCTCAAAAAGGCAAAGGGATCTCAATTAAAATATCATGTAGATGTCACATCTGTGGGTGCTGCATACTCCCCCGATGTGAATATGGAAAGGTTAATTACCTCTTGAACTCTCTGCCGAGATTAGTGCTGGTCTCTCAGGAACACCCAAAATGGCTCGATAGAGCCAGAAAGCAGACTGGCTCAGGGTTTTTGTGATGGTTTCGTCGTGGGTCAGAGTGAGGCTTCCCACGCACAGGAAGGGGATTGTACAGTGCGAAACACCCACTGGTGTCAAATGAGGAAGCTCCCGCAATTCCTAACTAGATTCACATTGTGTGATAAAAGACACACAATAGACATAACTTCATGGTCGGATATCACAAAATGCCGTTAAAAGATGTGGTAAAAAGGCAACTTTAAATTTTTAGTCATTGGAGTGCGTACAACACAAAAATCATTTTCAATATTTGTAACACATGCATGCAATAGGACAAAGGTATGTGATGAGGGTAAAATCTCGAAAGTGTGAATCTTCCAGCTACCAAGTCGTAGGGTAATAACTGATGTGTGCTGAGGGAGGAAACCATCACGCCATAGTGCTAATGGTATAACCCTTGGTGAAGAGAGTTCAATATTTTATTGAAGTTTTCATAATTTTTATTTAAAGATGCCATTTTTCAACATACTCAGATGATTGTGAGTGCCATTGATTCTGTATCGTATGAACAATGGCAATACCTTCCATGTTTACATAATATTAAAAACCACGTTAAGACTGAATATTTGGTGTCATGGTGCATCACGTTATTCTAGCTTCCATACTAGTTGTTTTATTTGTTTGTTTTCTCCTTTGTTGGCATTTGGTTTCGAATTCATATGTCAGGTCTCTATAATGTAGGAATTTATTTAAAAGTGTCTTTTTTTGTCCATTTTGATGGGGCTTCCAGGAGACGTAAGAACCTCCTCTGCTTGCAACACATTTTAAAATTACGCACTAATGTAGAACATCTGTATTTAATCCTGGTTTTTAGTTAATTGACAAGCTCTAATAAGTGAAGTAACTTCTCCATTCTGGGCTGATTTTACATCAGGTATAGGAATATATCCTAGGTGAAAGTTTGTACCAGTAATATGAATTATTAGGTAATAACCTCCACCTTTATGATTTACATGTTATTCATCAAGAAATAGTGTTAAATCAGGAGTCTCAATGAAAGTATTACCTAAGGGATATACAAAATATATTGCTAATCTACATAAAACAGATGTGAACACACTCTTAGTATCCAGCCATGTTTCCTGTCAACCACACAGTAACTTTGACTTCACTTGGGACTTGTTCTAATTTTCAAATTAGTTACTTATTAATCTTAATGCTTCTAGATATTATGTGTGACTATTTTAGCAGAGAGTGAAGAAAGACAGCCTAGGCCGACTAAACAATGAGGAAAATCACAACCTGATGAAACAGGAAGCCTCTGGATGTGAGTGGCTCCAGGATTGAATAATTTGACAACTCATGTACCCAGGAAGTTTCTTTTCTCAATTTTCCACACTGATGCATCCAGAAAGTCAGCTTCACCCCCCAGGTGACTCCCATAATGCAGTGACATGGTGACAATATTCCCATGGTCACATACGTATTTTATATATTGGCTGGAAAAGGGGCAGAGACAGTTCTGCAATTCTCCTCTGAAGGACCAGGAACACCTCAACAGACCACCTCCCCTGCCCCCATGACTAGAACTGCACCACGTGCCCACATGGACACTCATCCCTGATGGGGATAAGAAGACTCCATTGATGAGGCCGACTATTTTAGCATATAAATTAGTAAAGACTGATATAAAGGTTTCAACAACTAATTGAAGTCTGTTCTTCTATGTCCACCAGAGATATAGATGCTCCAGCGATATCTTGTTTTTCTTTGCTGCGTGACTGTGTCTCTTCTCCTTGTTCCATCCTCCAGAGAATCTCTTTCAGCTCCCACAGGTGCATTCCTCTGTTACATGTAACTGACAATTGATAAATTAGTGGAAGCCCTTACACTAAAGGAAGAGTCTCTGACCTCATCTTGGTCCATATTCCTAGAAAGGCATTGTGCCCGTAAGTCTGGGTGTGACCTTCTGAGTGTTCCTGTCCCTCCTCCAGAGGAGATGCTCATCTGTGTGTTCTTGTCCCTTTCACTGGGGTAGAACCACCCTGTTTCCCCCAGGTGTTCCCTCCCACAGCTCCAGTGTTCCGCATCAGTGTCATCACCTCCCAGATCTGCTGCCCTGCCCTGCAGACTAAAGCTCTGATTCCATAAGAAGGAGAGTTATGTCTCAACAGAACTTCGTGGCAGTGACCTCTGTTCCCATCTCAATTCCTGAGGGGTTGCACCAGTGCCCCTAGGGTACTGGTTTTGGTGGTTCCCCTGCAAAGTAATTTTTGGTTCTGTAGTGGATATAAGGGAGTCGAGTCTGAATGCCTTTCAAAAATGGGGGCTCTTGTTCTCTCCCAGACAGACACTTTGGGAAAGGAAGATTTTGTGACTGCCCCTTTTTTGGGGAAAGGGATTCAAGAGGATAGAAAAGCTCTTCAGTATGTGGTCCCTTAGAATTTCAAACTACAACAAGCTTACCATATTCAGTTTCAAGCAATCCCATATATATTTGTATTTTTATCTTTAACAGACTATATTTCATATGCCAGACTCTGCCTTAGGTAATCTCATATGCTGGCTTTGTTACTCTCTACAAGAACTTGCTTCTTGTTAAATTTAAGATTTTTTTTAACTTCAGTTATCCTAAGCATTCAGAAATTTGCAAAATTTCATCTTGACTGTTTATCTGTTATTGTTGATGTAGTTGTAAGAAATAAAGAATATATATCCCTCATTTATGTACATTTTCAAGTCGAGTAGTAGATTTTTAGTACTACCAGAGTAATAAAATAATTTGAACATTGTTAAGCTGCTTAACAGAAAATCAAATTATGGTAAATTTGTTCAATGGAATACTACACAACATTTATAATAAATAATTGTCTGATACATGCAACAAGAAGGTAAAATATCTAAGTATTTTTGCTGAGTAAAATAAACCAGACAAATGAGAAGATTTACCATATAATTTCATTTATATAAATTCTGGAAAATAAAAACTGAACTTACTTAAGTAATATAACAACAAGGTAAAATATCTAAGTATTGATGTTCAGGAAAATAAAGCAAATGAATAAGAATATGTACTATGTTATTCCATTTTAATAAACTCTGATAAATTAAATTGAATCTACAGCAATATAAAGAAGAACAGAATTTACCATTTGGGGAAATGGTAGAAGAAGGGAAGAGGAAAGGAGGAGGAATATAGAAGAATGAGAGGGAAATTTTGTGAATTTTCTGGTTCACCTTGGTAACTAGGATGGTTACATCAGGTTTATCAATTGTACACTTTAAATATGTGAAGTTTATTATCAGTAAACTGAAATTTATAAAATTTATTACCAGCAAACAAATGAAAACTTGCACAAGAAATAAGTGACATAAAGATAGAAAAAATATTAAATTTCAGAAACACCTAATAATTTATCTTCGTGAACCCTAGTTCTCACCATATTTTTAGGTGAATGCTAGAATGCAGCAAAATTACACATGCTCTCAATACAGAAAGTGGGTTTCACAAACCACACTAGGCATGCTCAGCTCTGTCCTGGAGTTGGGTTAGGGAGTAATATAGGGCCAGTGGATGAGGAGCACAGGCCTAGATACTGGGGCTCACTAACCTCAGGTATGAGCTCTTAGATACATACAAAGCCCCTCCACGCATGGGTTTACTTCCCCATCTGTAAATTGAGAAACCATTGACCCCTAAAAATATGATTTACACAAATATGTAAAAATGTAAGAGAGTGATTAGTGCAAAGTGTTTATCACAGCACAATTTCATAACAAGACAGCAAGTTTTCCAAACAGCATCATTGTCATTAGATTCCTGCAGGGCATCATTACCTTATCTGGGCCCTGCCCTCTGCTCAGGCATCCCACCCCAGAGCTTGCTATATAGTAGGTGACATGCAAATAGGGCCCTCCCTCTCCTGATGAAAACCAGCCCAGTCCTGACCCTGCAGCTCTGGGAGAGGAGCCCCAGCCTTGGGATTCCCAAGTGTTTTCATTCAGTGATCAGGACTGAACACAGAGGACTCACCATGGAGTTTGGGCTGAGCTGGATTTTCCTTGCTGCTATTTTAAAAGGTGATTTATGGAGAACTAGAGAGATTAAGTGTGAGTGGACGTGAGTGAGAGAAACAGTGGATATGTGTGGCAGTTTCTGATCTTAGTGTCTCTGTGTTTGCAGGTGTCCAGTGTGAGGTGCAGCTGGTGGAGTCTGGGGGAGGCTTGGTAAAGCCTGGGGGGTCCCTTAGACTCTCCTGTGCAGCCTCTGGATTCACTTTCAGTAACGCCTGGATGAGCTGGGTCCGCCAGGCTCCAGGGAAGGGGCTGGAGTGGGTTGGCCGTATTAAAAGCAAAACTGATGGTGGGACAACAGACTACGCTGCACCCGTGAAAGGCAGATTCACCATCTCAAGAGATGATTCAAAAAACACGCTGTATCTGCAAATGAACAGCCTGAAAACCGAGGACACAGCCGTGTATTACTGTACCACAGACACAGTGAGGGGAGGTCAGTGTGAGCCCGGACACAAACCTCCCTGCAGGGGCGCGCGGGGCCACCAGGGGGCGCTCGTGACCCACTGAGGGCGGGACAGGTCCCAGGAGCAGGTGCCGGGAGAGGTTTCCTTTCTCCTCAGCTGGAAAAGTCAGGTTTATCTTCGCAGGACTCTGGAGTCTTCTAGGCTGTGATATTTTGTTACTTATATTTATTATGAATTTTATCATTAATACTTAAATTTTAGTAATTATTAACATTCTACATATTATTATATTTTTAAGTATATACTTTCAAGAAATAAACATTCCTAATTGCATAATAATTATTGTAACATAATTATTGTAACATATAATTATATCCTAAATGCATAATAATTATTGTAACAATCACATTCTCATTTTGTATTTGAATTTTCATATTTATTTTACTAAGATTTTAATTTTAATATAAAATATTTTTCTACAATTGTCTGTTTTCCATTTTTGTGAGATAAAATTAGCATATACAAAAATGCACAGATTCTCCAGGTACAGTTAGAGGGTTTCAGGCAAATGTGCACATACTTGTCTACAGCAGCTAAGTGAGGGTGAGGAACAGGTGAGGTCCATCTCCCCACAAAGTGTCCTCTTAGTGCTTCCAGTTAGTTCTCACATAAGGATTTTTTTTTATTTCAACTTTATAATTTAGATACAGAGGGTTCATGTGTGGATTTGTTACATGGGATTACTGAGTGATGCTGAGGTTTGGAATACAGATTTCTTCACCCCCTCCCTCCATGGTCTAGCAGTCCACAGTGTCTGTTGCTCCCATATTTATGTCTATGTGTGCTCAATGCTGAGGTCCCACTTACAAGAATATGTGGTGTTCAGTTTTATTTTCCTGAATTAATTTGTTTAGGATTAAGAACTCCAGCTCCATTTGTTTTGCTGCAAAGGACATGATTTCATTCTTTTTTATGGCTGTGTAGTATTATATATTTTACATGTAACACATTTTATATATCCACTCTACCATTGATGTGCATCTGGGCTGATCTTTGTCTTTGCCACTGTGAATAACACAGCAATAAACATACACATGCATGTGTCTCTTTGGTAGAATTATTTGTTTACCTTGTAGTGTATACCCTGTAATAGGATAGCTGGTTCATATAATATCTCCATTTTAAGTTTTTTGAGAAATCTCCAGTCTGCTTTCCAAAGTGGGTGGACTAATTTATATTCCCATTAACAGTGTGTAAGTGCTTTCTTTTCACCACAGCCCCATCAGTATCCATTGGTTTTTGACTTTTTAGTGATAAAAATTTGAGTGGTGTGAGGCTGCACACCTACAACCATATGATCTTTGATAAGGCTGACAAAAAAACAAGAAATGAGAAAGGAATTCCCTGTTCCATAAATGGTGCTGGGACAACTAGCTGGCCACACGACAAAGATTGAAACTGGATGTCTGCTTTCAACATATATAAAAATTAACTCAAAATTGATAAAAGATTTAAATGTAAGACATCAAACTATAACAATCCTTGAAGACAACGTGAAAATACTCTTCTCGACACCAGCTTTGACAAATACTTTTTGGCTAAGTATGCAAAAGCAATTGCAACAAAAACAAAAATAGATAAGGAGAGACTAATTTGCTAAAGAGTTACTACACAGCAAACCAACCAGCTAATCAACCAAACAAACAAATAAACAAACAAAACTATCAGCATAGTAAGCAGACAACCTACAGAATGTGGGAAGTTATTCACAAATGTTGCATCCAACAATGCCCTAATATCCAGAATTGTATTAGCTGGTTTTCATGCTGCTAATAAAGACATACCCGATATTAGGAAATTTATCAAAAAAGAAGAAGAAGAGGTTTGATCCACAGTTCCACAAGGCTGGAGAGGCCTCACAGTCATGGTGGAATGTGAAAGGCACGTCTCATATGGCAGCAGACAAGAAAAGAGAACTTGTGCAGGAAAATCCCCCTTTATAAAACTATCAGATTTTATGAGACATTCACTCTCAAGAGAATAGCATGGGAAAGACCCACCCCCATGATTTAATTATCTCACAGGGGGTTTATTCCACAACATTAGGAAATTACTGAAGCTCCAATTAAGATGAGAATTGGGTGGGGACACAGTCAAATCATATCATTCTGCCCCTGGCTCCTCCTAAATCTCATGTACTCACATTTCAAAATGGATCCTGCCTTCCCAACAGTCCCAAATTCTTATTTCAGCATTAACTGAAATGTCCGCATTCCAAGGCCTCATCTGAGACAAAGCAAGTCCCTTCTGCCTATGAGCCTGTAAAATCAAAAGTAAGTTAATTACTTCCTAGACACAATGGGAGTACAGGTATTGGGTAAATAGAGCAATTCCAAATGGGAGAAGTTGGCCAAAACACAGAGGCTAAAGGCCCCGTACAAGTCCAAAATCCAGTGGGACAGTTAAATCTTAAAGCTCAAAAAAGATCTATTTTGACTCCATGTCTCACATCCAGGTCATGCTGATGTAAGTGTTGGGTTCCCATGGTCTTGGGCAGCTATGTGCCTCTGGCTTTGCAGGGTACAGTCTTTCACCCAGCTGTTTTCACCGGCTTGCTCTGAGTGTCCATGGCTTTTCTAGGTGCATGGTGCAAGCTGTTGGTGGATCTACTATTCTGGGGTCTGAATAACTGCGGCCTTCTAATCATAGCTTCACTAGGCAATGCACCAGTGGGGACTCTGTGTGAAAGCACCCACCCCACATTTTCTTTCCTCGCTGCCCCTAACAGAGGTTCCCATGTGGGCCCCTCCCTGCAGCCACCTTCTGCCTGGACATCCAGGCATTTACATACATCCTCCGAAATCTGGGCAGAGGTTATTAAACCTCAATTCTTGACTTCTGTGCACTTGCAGGCTCAACACAAAATGGAAGATGCTAAGGCTCGGGGCTTTCACCCCCTGAAGCCACAGCCTGAGTTATATGTACCTTGGCCCCTTTTAATCATGGCTGGAGCAGCTCTGATGCAAGGAAGCAAGTCCCTAGACTGCACACAGCAGAGGGACCCTGAGCCCAGCCCATGAAATCATTTTTTCCTCCTAGGTCTCTGGCTTATGATGGGAGAACCTTCCACAAAGGTCTCTGACATGCCCTGGAACATTTTCTGCATTGTCTTGGTGACCAACATTTGGGTCCTCGTTACTTATGTAAATTTACGCAGCTGGTTTGAATTTATCCTAACCAAATGGGATTTTATTTTCTATTGCATTGTCGGGCTGCAAATTTTCTGAACTTTTATGTTCTACCTCCTTTTTAAAACTGAGTGTGTTTAACAGCACCCAAGTCACACCTTGAATACTTTGTTGCTTAGAATTTTTTACTGCCAGATACCTGGTATCATCTCTCTCAAGCTCAAAGTTCCACAAATCTCTAAGGCAGAGGCAAAATGCCACCAGTCTCTTTGCTAAAGCCTAACTAGAGTCACCTTTGCTCCAGTTCCCAACAAGTTCCTTGTCTCCATCTGAGGCCACCTCAGCCTGGATTTTATTGTTGACATCATTATCGGCATTTTGGCCAAAGCCATTCAACAAATCTCTAGAGAGTTTCAAACTTTCACACATTTTTTGTGTCTTCCTCTTAGCCCTCCAAACTGTTTCATCCTCAGCGTGTTTTCCAATTCCAAATTTGCTTTTATGCTTTTGGGTATCTTATCAGAAGCACTTCACTCAACTGATACCAATTTACCGTATTAGTTGCTTTTCATGCTGCTGATAAAGACATACCTGAGACTGGGCATTTACAAGAGAAAGAGGTTGAATAGACTCACACTTCCACGTTGCTGGGGAGGCCTCGAAATCATGGCAGAACATGAAAGGCACATATCACATGGTGGCATACAAGAGAAGAGAGGACATGCAGGGAAACTCCCCTTTATAAAATCATCAGCAAGACAGGAGAACTCATGCAGGGAAACTCCCCTTTATCAAATCATCAGATCTCATGAGACTAATTCACTATCATGAGAATAGCATGGGAAAGACCCCCCCCCACCATGATTCAATTATCTCCCACGGGGTCCCTCCCACAACACATGGTAATTATGGGAGCAGCAATTCATGATAAGATTTGTGTGGGGACACAATCAAACCATATCAAGAATGTATAGGAAACTTAAACAAATCAAGAATCAAAAGACAAATAACCCCATTAATAAATGGGCAAATAACAAGAACAGACACTTCTGAAAAGAAGACTTACAGGTGGCCAGCAATATTTTAAAAGATTCTCATCATCACTAACCATCAGAAAAATGCAAATAGAAAAATGTTCTAATTTTTGTCATTATAGATTGATTTTTTCTGTTTTGAACTTATTTTTGCTATTTTTTAGGTTTATTTATGTAATTTCATGTCTCAAGGTTTTGTCATCGTATATATACATATGTATGTACTAATACACATATGAATATTTCATATCTGAATCAATCCATAACATCAGTAAATGACAGTTTATTAAGTAAATAAATCAGTTTATTATGTGAAATAATGACGATATGTATATTTGTTTTCCTGTTGATGAAATTTAAATTTGTTTCCAACATAAATATTATAAGCAAACTGTTATAACTATTTTTGTGCAAGTTTTTCTGTTTATATTCTCACATATTGATAAAATATGTAGAAATATAAGTATGCTTTTTTATTATAAGACTTACATTTTCAGCTTTATGGAGCTAAAGTTGACAAATAAAATTGTATGTATTTAAGGTACACCACTTGACGTATTGATATACATGGGAAAATGCTGGATGGTAGATAAGTAAACAATGCTAAACAGCACTAATTATCAGGGAGATGCAAATTAAAACTGCAGTGATATTTCTTAAACCAGTCAGAACAGCTACTATTAAAGAGCCAAAAATAACAGGTATTGGTGAGGATTGAAGGCAAAAGGAACGCTTGGACACTTGTGGTGAGGATGTAGATTAGCACAGCCTCGATGGAAAACAGTATGGAGATTTTTCAAAGAAGTAAAAGTAGAACTACTTTGATTCGATAACCACAAATAACTACCTAAAGGAAAAATAAATCATTATATCAGAATGATAAGCAGACTTTTGTTTTCCTGCAGAACTATTCATAATAGCACAGTCATCAAACTTAGGAATTAACCTATGCCTAACAACAGATAGTTTTATAAAGAAAATGTTACATATATATACATTTAAATACTATCCAGCCATATTAAGGGATGCAATCATATCTTTTGCAGCTACATGGATGGAATTCATCATTATTTTAAGTATAATAATTGAGAAACAGAACATCATACACCACATGTTCTCACTTATAAATGAGAGTGAACTCATATGTGCACAAGGACATAGAGAAAGGAATGATGGACATTGGAGACTCAGAAAGATGGGAGAGCAAAAGGTGGGAGAATGGTGAGAAATTACTTAATGGGTATGATGTACATTATTTGGATCATGGATATGTTAAAGCCAAGACTACTATGCAATATATATATGTAACAAAATTGCAGTCACTCCCCATAAATTTATACATATAAAATAAAAACAAATACAATTAAAATGATTAACAGTTGATAAACAATACTGAAAATTAAAATTTGTGATCAATAAATGAAAATAATATTAGTTGAACTTCAAATTTTAAAACATTTTCTACTCAAGTGACTATCAAGAAAATTAAGGACAAGCTGCAAAGGAAAAAATATTTGCAAGTCATATATCTACCAATGTAATTATAACAAGAACCGGCAAACCTCAAAGATGTACAGATGACACATCAGCATAGGAATGTGATTTTCCACCAGAGAAATGCAAATCAAGACCAAAAGGAGACACTACTATAGACTTTCTAGAAAGACAAAAAATAAAAAAGAAATACTGACAATATCAGAGTTGGTGAGGAAGTCAGTCACCCTAGAGACTAATATATTGCTAGTGGGAATGCAAAATGAAACCGTTTCTGGGAAAATCATTTACAGTTTCCCATAAAATTAAACATGTCCTTAATCCATGACCTAGAACTCTCACTCCTAAGTATGTCCTACAAAGGATTAAAATCATATGTTCACACACGTATTCAGATGTTTAACATTGTGTGTGTGTGTGTGTGTGTGTGTGTGGTGTGTGTGTGTGTGTTAGAAACTAAAAACAACATGGACGTCTTTGAAAATTTGACACAAACCATTACAGGTGAACTCCAGACTTTCTTCTGAGTGACAGAAGGCCTGCCTGAAAGATCCCCAGAGACACAGTCGTGGATTTCACTGTCACCCTCGCATGTCACTGGCTTGGGCTGGGCTCTCTCTGGCTCTTCCCTGACCAGGACCAGATGTTGAGCTCCACTACCTGCAGTTGGAAGTTTATATTTTCAACAATGCACTGAGGTCTAAGTTGCTCTGCAGATGGAACCAAACAAACATGGGCGCCTTTGAACAAACAGTGCCTGACATTTGTACTGACCCCAGGAGAACTCTTTCCAGCTCTCATTCTTCTTGGTTCTCTCCTGCAGGCCAGCAGCCCTGAAGTTTAGCCTGGATCTCCCATGCATCCACCCATCTCCTTCCAAGTGCATTTTACCACAGCCTCCACTGTTTTTGAAGCACTCTTGGGCTTTGTAATTCTCCACACTCTGTTGTAAAGGAAGTCAGGTCCTTCAAGACCAGATTCGGGACTCTATTTTATGACCAAATTTCAGCCTCACCCCTGCTCCTGAGACAGAGCTCCTAGATAAGATTCTGCAGGTGGAGATTAGGAGTGTTTTTCTTCTTCAATGTAGTTGCTGAGCGCTCAGTGCAGGGTTGGGGAGAAACTTTCCACTTTGTCAGCATGCAGCTCCTGCTGGGGTAGACCTTCTTCCATAGAAGCAGGGTTGGGAACCAGGGGGCCAATGTCCTCAGTGCTGCTGCACCCAGGGCAGAGCCTTCATCCATCAGTGGGGCTGTGGAAGAAGTGAGTCTCTGGTTCTCAGTAGCTCTTGTCCAGAACTGAGCCTCTGCAGCATGTTCTGTCGGCCCCAGTGTCCTGGCCCCTAAGGAGCAGCATCCTAAAATGGGAGCTAGCGTATTTGAGAATAACAACACCTACACATTCAGAAGCTCTTTGGCTTTCTTTCCAGCTAATATAATTTCCTTTTTTTTGTGTAGCAACCTGTACACACGCATATTGATGCATACAGACCTATGACACTTTTTTCTCGATAAGTAAAAAATTATTGATCACTGTGATCTTTTCTCCAAGTTCACCATTTCCCTGAAGGTGAGCACAGGTCCTTCTGCATGTGTTCAAACAAAAGGCCCAGAGACTACCTGGTAAGTGAGGTGCTCACCTGGTTCTGGATGTTTGGTCTGTCTCCTCCCCTCTGTTGCCCCACACAAGGTCAGCCCACTCTTTCCAGGTCCGAAGAAGAGAGCACAGGTTTGTCCTGATTATATGACTCACCCAGCTTCTGATGACTCTCCTGTTGCCAGCGTCCATGGCCTCAGTGAAGGTGTCCTGCAAAGCTCTGGATACACCTTCGCCAGCTACGACATTCACTGTGTGTGACAGGCCCCTGGATAAGGGTTTGAATGGATGGTAGGGAGCTACTCTGGCAATGGTAACACAGGCTATGCACAGAAGTTTCAGGGCAGAGTCACCATGACCAGGGACACGTCCACGAGCACAGCCTACATGGAGCTGAGCAGTCAGAGATCTGAGGACATAGATGTGTACTACTGTGCGAGACACACAGTGTGAAAACCCACATCCTGAGAGAGTCAGAAATCCTGAGGGAGGTGGCAGCAGTGCTAGGCTTGAGAGATGACAGGGATTTTATTTGCTTTAAAGACTTTTTTTAGAAAGCGAGGTTAATTCATTGCAGAAAAAAGGAAAATAGAAATGTGTATGGACTCTAATTATGTGGGAAATTTTCCATACAACTTTTGTTCTCTAAGCAAAATTCAGGGAGTGGAAAACAAATCAAATTAATAAACCTGATAAAAGAATTCCTCTGAAAATTTAGTGTGAGCATAAGTTTTTGAATGGGTGTTGTAAATATTTTGGAACACAGCTGCTAGATCACATTTTAACTCTACACTTATCTCCATTATATAAAATATCAAAATGTTTTAATGTTTTCCATTTTGTGCAATTATAATTTTGTGTTATAATCACATTTTAACACTTTAACTCTACACTTATCTCCATTATATAAAATATCAAAATGTTTTAATGTTTTCCATTTCGTGCAATTATAATTTTGTGTTCATGCCAGCAATGCATGATAGATCTTGTTCTTCCGCATCCTCATTGCCATTTGGCACTAAGAGTATTGTGTATTTTAATATTCTAATAGATTAGTAGTGATAGCTCATTGCTGTTTAAATGCACATATTTCTAATTAAAATTTTGTATTTAATTATTTTATATAATTGTGATGAAGTGTCTCGTATGGTATTTGGATTATTTTTTATTGCATTGTTTCTTTTTGATCAGTTGTAAGTTTCCTTATATACCCATTATATAAGTCACTCACAAAGTTAACAAAAAATTGATTAACAAATATGTGTTTTACAAGTGTATTCTCCAAATTGTTGTTGTCGTTTTACTCCCATATCAGTGTCTGTGGGAGAAAAATATTTATATACATATATATGTGTGTGTGCATATATATATATATATATATATATATATATATATATAGTGTGTGTGTGTGTGTGTGTAAACTTAGATAAAATAATTATTTCATAAATCATACTTTTGGCATCATATCTAAAAACTAATTATGAATTCCACTAACAGGATTTTTCTCTTGTCTCTAATCTCAGGCCACAATCACAGCATAAGCATTTAAATTTCTCCTATTTGATGAGAAGATTATTAACTTAAGATGTTTAGAATTCTTCTGAATGGAAGGTGCCTTTTTTCTAATTTTCTGTATTCAATAATCTGTTAATATCAGTATTGGCTCATGAATGTTTATTTTTTACTATGGAGAAGATCTAGTGCTACATTATTTATTTTATCGCTCAAATCACCACAGCTTTTTTTTAGGTTCTGTGAGCTCATTTAGTTTGGATTCTGTATTTTTACAGCATGCCCCATCCTTTTGTTTTTGATCACTTCCCTATTTCCTGGTATTACAAGAAATACTAAGCTCATTATCTCTATTATCTTTTCCACACATAGAATCAGTTATTTCTCCAAGGATTACTGGTCCCTGATATTAAAGAATTATATTAAAACACAAAATTATGATGTTGGATGTGTGTGTTGTTAATGTACTGTCAGTGTTTCTAGAATCTCTAAGCTAACAGGCCTAGAAAATGTGTATGTGTATATTAACCCATGTTAACTGACCCATCTAATCTATTTATGTATCCAATCTTCTGTATGTTTATTGCATCAAACTTTAGAACACTGGTATCTACAATCTACTATGATGATACATGAATGTTTCAAGCCTTCCTTCCTTGCCTGTCCATACCACCTACTGCAAAGTGAGGAACCCCTCCCATCATTTGCCGTTCATTCAATTTGTTGTACAATTTTAGAATATATGCGTCGTGGTATTAGAATTGTTAACTTGTACCCCTGTTGGAAGTATGTTTATTGACTAGAATAAAGTGTTTAAGTGCAGTTTCTTTATACTTTAGACTTACAGAACACCCTGAGTTCTAAGTTATATAGGTGAGAAACTTTATGTGCCACCTTCTTCAGTGAGGTTATTTGAAATATGTTGTATACATTTTATTTGACATTCTGTAAAAGACAAAACTGTAGATGTCATAAATATATGAGGATTTTCTAGAAATTTAGAGAGAGGGTATGCATTAGGAGAAACAGGTACTGTTTGCAAACAGTGAAATTTTTTATGATCTGCAGTAGTGAACACATGACACAATTTGTTAATTCTCACAATTTTATGATGTAAACTGTGAATCTAAATATATACAACTTACAAAATTATGTAGCACATCATGAACATGCAAAGTGTACAAAAATAAAATATCAAATACATTTACACCGCGTGGGCAGGGAATTGCATGAGATGCAGGCAACAAAGAATGAAGTAACCTTCCCCATTTGCACATAAGATGTTTCCATTCACAAGAGACCTTTCTTTTATCAGGTTCATGTGCAACCAAGTTTCCCTGCTGACAAGCATTTAAGCCAGATGATTCGCAACTTCCTTTGACTGAGAAAGATTTCCCTCAAACTTCAGCTCAGTGCAGGCACACACCATCTCTGAATGGGCATTTACCATCAGACAATGCCCACACCTGTCCCCACATGGACCTTTCCCTCAGACAAACAAACACATCCTCAGGTTGACTCTTCCCTCAGACAAGCACCCCTGTCTTCATGTGAACTCTTCCCTCAGATAAGCACACATGTCCCCACATTGACTTTTTCCTCAGACAAGCACATATAGCTGACAACGAACAGTTATGTGGCAAAATGAGCTCAGGATAGTGGTAATTATGGACTCCAGCTCTGATAGTTTGTAGAAATTGTCATTTTTAAAATTCTGACTGAAGACTTTCCTTTATTGTAGAAGACAGTCCTTTACAGCTCTAATTGCACAGCCTACAGGCAGGAGTCCATTTCCTCTGGGCAAGGTTTATTTTTATTTGTTTACTGTACTTATTTGTTGATAAATATTGATACTACAAAGATAGCCTATAGGGTCCACATACGAGAAAAAAAGAGTAATGGGCAGATCAACCCTGCAAATCCAGTCCCAGGAGTCTTTGACCCTGCCCTCCCTGGAATCCAGAGACAGAGATGGAAGAGGCCTGCTGAGCAGTGCACTCATGTCCCCAGGGAGAAAGACATGGAAATGAGGCCCCTCCTCTGCAAATGAAAAGTAGCTCATCCCCTGTTCCTGTAGATCCTGGTGAGGAGCCATCCCACATCTGTGCCCTTCCTCAGTGTCCACACCATGGGGTCTGTGCGGATCTGGGCTGCTCTTGTCATCACTCTCAATGTTTAGGTTCCCCGTGGATCAGGCCCTGCTGTGGCTGTTGCCTCTGTGTTTGCAGAAGTCCCCTGTGAAGTTAACTAATGGAGTCAGACAGAGAAATACTACAGACCAGGAATTCTGCCTTTTCTGCAAAGCCTCTGGATTCACTTTCACTGAAAACAGCATAAGCTTGATCCAGCAGGCTTCATGACAGGGGTGGGTGTGGGTAATAACAATAATTCAAATAGAAGTTCTCAGTGGGACTCTCCTTGAGTAAAAAGATGATTAACAATCCTCAAATACACTCAGTTCAGGAGATTCTCTTTTAAGATGATTAACCTGAGAGCTCAGGAAAAGTCCGTGTATTACTTTGAGGGACACAGTGAGGGGACATCTGTGTGAACTCAGACACCAACCTCCCTGCAGGGAGACAGGAGGGGACTGCCTGGTAGATGCTTCTCAGAACCACCAGGGGGTGCTCAGGACATCAGGGGGCACTCAGAACCATCAGGGGATGCTCAGGACACCAGAGGGCACTCAGGACACTGGGGGGCGGGGGGTCACTCAGAACCACCAGGGGGCGCTCAGGACACTGGGGGGGGGGGGGTCACTCAGAACCACCAGGGGGCGCTCAGGACACTATGAGGGGGGGTGGTCACTCAGAACCACCAGGGGGCACTCCGGACACGGTGGTGAGGGGTAGCTCAGGATAGCAGGGGTGCTCAGAACCACCAGGGGGCGCTCAGGACACTGAGGGGGGGTCACTCAGAACCACCAGGGGACACTCGAGACACCAGGGAGCCCTCAGGACACTAGGGGGAGCTCAGAAACACCAAAGGGCAATCAAGACACCAGGGGGATCTCAGAACCACCAGGAGGTGCTCAGGACACCAGGGGTCTCTGAACCACTAGGGGGAGATTAGGACCCCAGGGGGCTCAGAACCACTAGGGGGTTTTCAGGAGACCAGGGGGCGCTCAGGACACCAGGGGGCGATAGGGACACCAGGTGGTTCAGAACCACTAGAGTGTGCTGAGAACCACCAGGGGTGCTCAGAACCCCAGGGGGCTGCTAAGGACAATAGGGAGTGCTGAGAACCACCAGTGGGCGCTCAGGACACCAGGGGGATCTCAGAATCACCAGGCTGTGCTCAGGACACCGGGGGGTGCTCAGGACCTCCAGGAGCACACACGACACAAAGGATAGCTCAGGACCTACAGGGGGCGATCAGAACGCCAGGGTGCGTTGAGGACAACAAGGGGCTCACAGGACACAACGATGTGCTTAGTAAACCGGGGGACACTCACAACCACCAGGGGGTACTCAGGACACCAGGGGGTGCCCAGGAAACCAGGGAGCACTGAGGACACCACCGCTCCCTTAGGAGGCAGATCCACATCAGGTCCCTGAGTGGGAGCAGGGAGGAGGGTTCCTCTTGTATCTTGTCACTAACATGTTGGGAGTTTTTCTGCTTCCTTTGTGGTTTCAATTATTGGCTGATTCTTCGGTATAAAGCAGAGCAAGTATAAAGCTCTGCTTTCTTGGATTATGTCATGTTTTTGGCTTTGGATGCTACCAGAATTACATTGTACTTTGAGAGGATTCATTCATGGTGTGTGCAATAGTGAATGAAACCTGTAATTTTAGGGGTGGCTTTGAAAGCTATGTTAGGTGTGGCTGAGGGAAGTTTACAGGAAATGGTCATCACTACAGAAGGCTACTCATTTCTTTGCACATTTGCGTAAGCAATTGTAGTTTATGAATTAAAAACTGCCTGTTTTCTTGGTCCTTTTTCTTAAATGGTCCCACTCTAAGGGCAGTAATGTAATCAAGCTGTGTTTCAAAGATCTGCAATCAAGTTAAGTCTGTTTAATGAAATGCTTTGTAAAGAAAATGTACATCTATTTTTTAGAGTCACCTTTACATTTTACATTGCTTTACAAATATTAATTTGGTAAATTTAGTCTCATAATTATCTTCAGTAATTAAAAATCTTAAAGTCATGTCATGTTAAATTAAGTAATCCTAGGCTTCTCACTGTGAATTAGGGTTACTAAAAATTAGAATAGTAAGAGAGTATAATCAATTTATGGTGAAGTTTATTAAGAAAGATGAAGATACGTTTTTTGCTTAAAAATATTTTGTTTTCCAGTTTACAGGGCCTTTCTACTGGTTTTAAGATGACAACCACTGTTTACATCTAACCCTTTTTTGTTGAACATCTGTTGAGTTTCTATTCATATTCCACAGCTAGAGTTTTAAAGTAAAAGCTCTAGTATCTTTGTATTAGTGTGAATGTGTGCTTGTATGTATTATGTACATATATATATATTTTTTGTTATGTGTTATGGCTACAAGGTACAAAATTGACTTTAAAATAAATAACTATTTTAAATTAAGTCAATGAGCCCTAATGCATCTGAAGTACATGTAACTTAAATAAATATGTAATAAATAAGCTGGCTTCAAAATTATTGGTAAAATAAAATTGGAAATATTTTAACAATTATTAGAATACCTCATAGTTTATATCAATTGATCAAGTGATTTTATATTTAAAATCACAGCTAGATATTATATGGTGTGAAACATTTCTATGAAGATTATAAAATTATTAACCTAGTTAAAACCAGAATGATCTTTGTAATTTGACAAATAAGATGTTTAATACTGTTGTTTTAATAAAAAACAGGTAAATAGTTATTGGAAATACAATCATTTATTTAATAAGAATTTTACTTAGGTAAACACCTGAAATTCATGGGTTATAATATGGGTAACAGGGAAAAAACTTTAAAGGATGAGTATTACTGTTTTCATAAATGATCTAGGTAAGCTATTTAAAAAATAAATTAGGTTAATGTAACAAAATAAACCTTTTAAATAAACTTGTTCTACAATTTAAAAATCTAAAGTTTAATTAAATAATAGATATTAACTAAATGTTTAGGTCATTACTAATTGTTTTAAAAAATGTATACTATAAGAAAATATTTTTGTAAAAAATTTGTTCTTACAGAAAGATTTTATTTAATTCAGAGGTTACTTATAAAACATCCTAAACATAACCAGTAAATAAGAGAGATGCCACTGCACTCCAGCCTGGGTGACAGAGCAAGATTCTGTCTCAAAAAAAAAAAAAAAGAAAAGAAATTTTTAGACATAGAGGAGTACTTTTGGTATGAAAGGTTAAAATAAAAAAAAATAATTTTATATGAGAAAGAATCTTGTAACTTTTTATCCTAAAATAAAAATGACTTTATTTAAGAAACAGTGATGTTTAGAATAAAACTATATGCTCAAGTATGCCATAAGCGTTTTGTGTAAGTCAAACTAAGGTTTGTAAAAAGTTAATTAATTAAAATAACTTCATATTATGAAGTTGACTATAATTAAAAAGGAAGTATTTATAATAGTCTTTATAGATTTGTAGAGATCTGGCTTTCATATAAAAATATATAAATATACTAAAGATTGGTTAGAATGAAAAATTGTCTTAAAGTATTGATTTACTCAATAAAATTATAAGATATTTTAATTTTTTAACCCAAAAGTTTAACTCTTACTGCATCTTGCCAGTTTTATTTTATTCTCTTTTGAGAAGGCTTGAGAGGATCTCAAATTTTTCATGAGCTCCTCTAACATTTTTTTTCTTACAGCAGTTAGCCTCTAACGATGTTAACTTCTAACTGTTGTTAGCTTCTAACTGCTATTATTGCCTGATGCTAAAAATCTTTTATATTAAAGTTCTTAATAAAATGTTTTATTTCAATATAGTATTCTGCACTCTTGGGTTTTTTTAAATGTCTATATTTGTCTATGGAACCAAAATCTTCACTTGTAATCCAAGACACATTCTTCCTATGTCTAATTAATCAAATACTTTGTTTCATTAGAGTTGACTTGCAGGTTATCTGCATGGATTTCCCCACAGGGAAACACAGTCACACTGCTGAAGGTGTTTTTTCCCATTTGGTAACTGGCATAAAACAAATTTTATATTTTCTTGAAATACTTCCTCTGTAGCTGTTTTTAAGTTTTTCAACTACTTAGGAATACTGAGATTTTGAGAAAATATAAATTATTGTTATTACGTTAATGTAACTATCTGCATAACTTTTAAAGGACTTGTCCTGCTACATTACTGATCTTTGATTCCTAGGTCTAAAAAGGATACACAACACTTTGGGAGGCTTCAGAGGGTGGATCTCCTGAGGGCAGGAGTTAGAGACGAACCTGGCCAAAACGGCACAATCTCATTTTAATAAAAAATACAAAAATTAGCTGGGCGTGGTGGCGGGCGCAGGTAATCCCAACTACTTGGGAGCCTGAGGCAGGGAGAATTGCTTGAACCTGGGAGGCAGAGGTTACAGTAAGCCGAGATTACACCACTGCACTCCAGCCTGGGTGAGACTCTGTCTCAGGAAAAACAAATAAATACAATAAAAATAAAAAAGACACCGAGTCTTGCTAAATTTTAAACTCTGACAGCAATTGAAGCCCCATCTAGAGATGTGGAAGAAAATGACAATAAAAATTAATCACACACTTAAGACACAAGGCCGGAAAATTGAATCTACTCAACCACTCCAGGCCCAGGGACTGTTACAGAAGAAGCGGTTTGTAAGATTGTAAAAGCTAATTTTGAAAGATGAAATTACTTGAGAGTTTTTTATACAGTAAACATTAATATTAAAGGCACACTAATGCCAGGCTAGTAGCTGGGCCATGTGTCAGATTGACAAGGGTTTCTTGAAGAATTAATCCACTTTTTAATTTGAAAAACTTATAAAAGTTTATAAGAGATCATTTGAAATTAAATTTTATGGTAAAAGTAATTATAATGTAATAGATTTATTTTTCAGAATTGAGAGACAGTTTTAACTTCTCTCATGCTGTTCTTATAAGGGGCTATTGTTTAGAAAATTAATTCTTCTCTTTGAAAAATAAAAGTTTTTGCTTTCTTTCAAAATCACTGAGTTCTCACTGGGCTAAATAAATAACTTACATTACAGCAATCTGTAATCCTATTTTGTAATATCAAGCATTGTAAACTTTTGATATTTGACAAACTTCACAAAATAAAATTCTAAATTCAGTCATTTGACCTCATTATTCTTTTATGATATTAGGTCCCCAAAGCCAAAATTAAACATATTCAGCTTATTTGGTATAATTAAAATATGCAGGAAGCAATGTCAAATTTGCAAAAGTGTTTAACTTTGGACTATATTTAAATAAATGTGGACTATATAATTGGACTATATTTATATAAATTAAAGAGTATATTTTCCAAAATTGTATGAGATTCAAGTGATTTGATATGTCTTAGTATATTTTATCAGTAGTATTTATGATTATTATGTAAAATTTCTGTTTATTGCAGAAATAACCAAATCTTCCCCTCAATTCTGTCTTTAACCATGGCTATTCTAAAACTTCAGTCATCCACAGTTGGTGTTTTACTTTGATTCTTTATCAGGTGGCTTATAGTAATCTATAGAATTTTGAGGAGTACTCAAATATACGATTGTGACAATTTTATAAATTGTGCCATTGGTATAGAGATTAAAACTTCCATGACTCTCATTGATACCTGATTCATTTATGATGATTGTTAATCTAATATTAAGCAGGACAGGACTTAATTGCATGAACTGAATTGACAGAAGACTGAAATTGTTTTTATGGCTTATTCTTTAATGCATTTGCTAATTACTTATGTTCTGTTTTTTCAGAATCAGGAAAAGTTTGTCTTTTAAGCTCTTCACAGTTGTTAACAATTGAGTATGGTATACTTTACTGATAAAAAAATAAAAACATAATATCTTCTTATTTACATAATTTCTCCAAAATTTGGAAACTGTGAGTATTCTTATATCAAAATAGTTATTTGCATAGGTTCAATAAAAACCTGCTTTCTTCCATAACAGGGCACAATTGGAGACAATGGTCATTTTACTAAGGCTTTAACTTGAATTATATATTTTCAGATTTACTTTATAAAATGAATCTAACCTGGAGAGCTGATAAAGCCCCTTGGGAAAACTGGCATGCACATTTTTTTTTTTTTACAGGGCCCTGAACTGTAGTAAGTAAACAATTTAATTTCTGACAGACCCAGGACTCCCAGGTTTTCTTGGAAACTTGAAAAAAGAGAAAGTAACCCAATTCACATAGCTATCTGGTGGCACAGATAAAATATTGGCTGGGCTTGAAGATTTTAAAGATTCTACCCTTTGATTCCTTATAAAAAATTTCCAGCAAAGTCAATTTATGAATAAAATTGCCTATGTACAAACAAAAAATAGAAAACAAAAAGAGAGCTAATATGTTAAAGGATTACTTTGCTGCATCTTATACAAAAAAACCAGGCCAAGTCTCATAAGCCTAAAACTGATTTTACAAATAGATTAGTCCTACTATGATTTTGTGTCTAATAAAATTGGGGAATTATAGAGAGAAATATTATTTCAAAATAAACTATAGTGCATCAGTTAATAGATTTTAACCTTGTCCACTTGCTTTTCAATTTATATTATTTTCTACAATTTGGACTGAATTTTAAAGCGTATCTTTGCACGAGTCTCCAAAATAATGTTTTCAGTTATTTCCCTTTTTAAATATTTTTCCTGGCTTGAAATCAGCAGAAGTTAAACTGTGCTTTCTTACAGCTAGACAATGTAAATTCTAAAAGAAAACAAAATCAATGATATGGTTTGGCTCCGTGTCCCTACCCAAATCTCACCTTGTATTGTAATAATTCACACATTGCAAGGGTGGAATGAGGTGGAGATAATTGAATCATAGGGGCTGTTTTCTTCATGCTTTTCTCCTGTTAGTGAGTGAGTTCTCACAAGATTTGATAATTTTATGAGGGGCTTCCCTCTTCACTTAACACTTCTCTCTCCTGCAGTCATGTGAAATAGCATGTGTTTGCTACCCCTTGCATCATGATTGTAAGTTTTTTGTGGCCTCCCCAGCCATGCAGAACTGTGAGTCAATTAAACCTATTTTTCTTTAAAAATTACCCAGCCTCGTGTATGTCCTTATAGCAACCTGAAAATGGACTGATACAAGCAACTTAACTACATACGAAGTCTCCTTTTGTACCTGCCTATTGTGAAGAGAAAATAAATCTTGAGACCCCAAAATCACTAAGCTAAAGAGAAGAGTCCAGCTGGTGTAATAGGAGATAGAAAGAAATTATTTAGGTAGATAGTTAGGATGAAAGAGTCTCTGGCAAAACTTTTCTTCTCACAAGAATTAGCTCAGAAATAACTTCTTTTCTAATCAGACACAGTTCAAAGAGATCACTTCTAACAAAGAGCAGCCTGAAAGATCGGGCTGTAAAACATAGATAAACAACTCTGGCAGAGAGGGTATTTCTGTGTGTAATCACCAAAGTTCACATACATAGGATGGGTCCCAATAAAAACATTGGGTCTTAATGAGCACATTCCTTTCCTTTTCTGGGGTCACACTGAGATAGGAAAGCTGTTAGCTTGCACGGGGTTTGGGATGCCTCCAGCTGCAAGGAGGTACCAGGGACCTGGCATGGAAACTCCTCCCCCCTTTTTCAGCACATGCATGGTGGAAGGAGATAAGGAACGTGGAGCAGACCAAGCTAAGTCCCCACCTGCATAATAAAAGCATGAGATGGGGCTGCCAGAGACTTCGCTCTCTGCAGATGGCACACCTGGTCCTGCTTTTGCACCTTATGTTGATAAGAAGCCATCTCCCCACGAGCACATTTATAAAAATCCTTACGTTGATAAGATACTGTCTCCCCACGAGCACATTTATAAAAATCCTTACATTTTACTGCGGCACAGCAACCCATCTGGGACCCTTTCTGTGACAGAGAGATTTTTTTTCCTTTTACACATTAAATTTCTGCTCTAACCTCACTCTTTGTGTGTCTGTGTCCTTGATTTTCATAGCCACGACACAAAGAACCTTTGGTGATATTCCAGATAACAAAGGTGCTTTACTGGAGAGGGCTTTGGGCAACCTGCCTCCCATTCTATTCAAAGTGATTCCTCTGAGGCCCACACGAGACAGATACATATCTGATTGCTTCCTCTTCAGTATCATTTATGAAAAAATGAAGATTCACTAAGTCTGACTAAATTGTGGATTCAGTGGTAGGCTGATAAAGGACTTAAAATAATGCAACCTACTGTGTCTTATCTACTTCTAAACTGCAAAACCCCCTTTCAATTTGTCCTGTCTTGAAGGAAAAAAAATGTACATTTTACATATATTGATTGATGTCTCATGTCTCTCTAAAATGTATAAAATCAAGCTGTACTTCAATCGCCTTGGGCACATGTCTCAGGACTTCCTGAGGCTGGTCATGGGTGGGTTCTTAACTTTGGCAAAATAAATGTATTAGTCTGTTCTCCTGCTACTAATAAAAACATAACCAAGCCTGGGTAATTTATAAAGCAATGAGGTTTAATGGACTTATAGTTCCACATGGCTGGGAATGCTTCAAAATCATGTCAGGAAAGCAAGGGACATCTTACATGGTGGCAGACAAGAGAGAGCTTGCACAGGGGAACTCCCCTTGATAAAACCATCAGATCTAATGGGACTTATTCACTATCATGAGAACAGCATGGGAAAGTGCTGACTTACTGCAGGAGAACTACATAATTTTATATTTTCCTATATGCTTCTTTTTCATTACACATGTAAATTTTCATACCATCCAAATTTCCCCTTACCCAGCTTTTCCTCTTTATATATTGAAAGCCCTAAAAATTGTCTTTGGGGAATGGCACTAACCACACACAGTTTCTGTGATTACTTTTATTTTTCTTCCAGGCATGTCCTGGAAAGACATAATTTCCTTTGGGAAAATTAATTTTAATTTGATTAAGATCTGTCTCAGAAACCTTCGGTTTACACTAGGAAAGATCCCAAATTAGGAGCCAATTACTGTAAAAATCAGCCATACCACTCTGTGAGTGTGTGTGTGTGTGGCGGGGGGTGTATATGTGTGTGTACATGCATGTTTTCATTTCTGTGGGCTTTAAGCCATGTAGTTCTCTCTGCGAAGATACTATTTGGCATGACCTTTGAATAGAGAATTGTAAGAGAAATAAGAGGCTCCTATGAATTATCCGAAAGTTTCTGGACTCACCATGTATCTTGACTGTGTCATTGCATCTGACAGTCCCAGGGAAGTGACTCTCTGGTGGTTTCATGAATCTGTGCTTGGGCTCTCTCTGCAGTTTACTGGGTATAGTAATGACAAATCACTGTTTCAAGAGACAATTTCGAAAGCATTAGATGCTGCTGAGAGAGGATTATGAACCAGGGGACAGCCCCTTCATTCTGGGGGAGCGACATTGGGAGAATATGCTCTGTGAGCCCAAACAGCTTCCTCCCCTGCAGGGTGAGGGCAGAGCTGCAGGACAGGCCCAGAACCCACTCAACACAGATGTCAGCCCTGGAGCTGCTGCAGAGGAGTCTGAGGAGAAAATTTTACCAGCACCTGAATTACACTTATTTCAAACAAAAATGCATGTCCTGTGAGTGTTTGTTTCCCTATTGGAGGAGTTCTGTACTCATGAAGTTCTGGACATGCCAGCGGACAAATATCAGTAAACAAACATCAGAACTTGAACCTCAGCTTCCCACTGTTGCATTCTCCATGTGTCATCTCTATTATTTCTCATGCTAGATCAGGTATTTAGCTATGAAATATTCCAGCTAATTAACGTGTAAATAGCTTGAAGTCTACTGAGTTAAATACATATATTTTCTCTTGTTTTTGCCAGGTGTTCCCTCCCACACCTCCAATAGTCTCCACTATTATCATCATCTTCTAGATCTTCTGCGATGCCCTGGAGATTAAGGATTTGATTCCATGACAGAGAGGAGGTGCATTTCGATGGAACTTTGGTGAAAACCTTGGTCTTTATCCCATTTCCTCTGGGGCTCCACCAGTGCCTCTGGAATCATGGTTTCAGTGGCTTGCCCCTGCATGGTAGGTCATTCCTTTATTCTGTAGTGCTGATGAGGGAGGTGGGTCTGAACGCATTTCAGTAGTATGGGCTCTCCTTCTGTCTCAGACAGACACTTTGGGAAAGGAAAATTTTTCTGAGCGTCCTCATTCTAGAACAAAGGGATTCAATTGTATAGGAATGCTGAAAATAGAAAACCTTCAGCCAAATTAAGGTTAATAAGATTAATTGAGCAATGGATGATTCATGAATTGGGCAGCCCCCAGAATCACAGCAGATTCAAAGAGACTTCAGTGCAGTCACGGGGTGGAAGAAGATTTATAGATTAGAAAAATGATGTACAGAAATCAGAAGTGAGGTACAGAAACAGCTGGATTGGTTACAGGTTGCTTTTGTCTTATTTAAACAAGGTGTGCACCCTCAAGAGTGTACGAGTGGTTGAGGTATGGCTGCTGGAATTGGCCAAGACTCCGCTGTTGTTACAGGCGCATGCTCCAAAGTTGGCTTTTCAATCTCGTCCACCTATTCAGGTAGGTTACAGTTTGTCCACAAGGACTCAAACACAGAAGTACGGAGTCCTTTTCAGGCCATATTTAATTCACTTTATCAGTGCCCTTCAGTATGTGGTTCCTGAGAATTTCACATGACAACACGTTTACCACACTGGAATTTAAGCAATCCAACACGTTTGTAGCTTTGTCTTGTAATGGGCTATATTTCATGTGGCAGCCTCGGCCTCAGTTTAGCTAACACTATGGCTTCATTTCTCTCTACAAGAACTCATTTCTTCCAAGATTTCCATGTTCCTGAAAGGAAAATAAACCTTTGGGACCCCCATATCACTAAGCCAAAGGGAAGTCAAGCTGAAAATTGTTTGGGGCAAACCCACCTCCATTCTTTCCCTAAAATGAGAGCTACTAAGGTTTTTAAAAGCTACAGACCTCCTTCAAAATTTGACCACAAGTAAAATCCTTGTGGACCCAGGACAGAGAGAGTCATTTCTCTGCTCATGTAAGTCAAACGCATACCTGATTGCTCCCTGTGCTCTACTGTTTCACTAAGTCAGACTAAGGCCTACGTGACTATTCCTGTAAATTGTGCATTCAGTTAAAGGCTAATCAGAAACTCAAATAATGCAACCATTTCTCTCAAACCTACCTATGATCTAGAAGCCCTCTCCCCACTTCAAGTTGTCCTGCCTTTCTGAACTAAATCAATGTACATCTGATATATATATATTGATTAATGTCTCATGTCTCCCTAAATTGTATAAAACCAAGCTGTGCCCACAAGCTTGGGCACATGTCGTCAGCACTCCCTGAGGCTGTGTCACAGGCATGTCCTTAATCTTGGAAATTGAACTTCCTAAATCTATTGAGATTAGTCTCAGATACTCTTTGGTTTACAGGTTTGTTTTTATTTCATAACTTCAATTATTTGACATGCTAAAGAAAATTTGCCAAATAGCGCATTCTCTTGTTTATGTGTTATTGTTGTTGCAAAAATAATATATTTTATATATAATTTATCATCTATGTACATTACCAAATTGAGTAGCAGATTTATTAGTAAGACCCAAAGTAATGAAAAGTTCAGATACCAATTAGCAACTTAGAAAAACAAATTATGCTACATTTGTTTGCTGAAATGCTACCTATTATTTATAAAAAATAAACAATACAACATAAAAGGTTTAATTCTCAGTATTTCTATTGAGAAAAATAAGCCAAATAGATGAGTACATACTATATTATTTCATTCTTATAAATTCTAGAGAATAAAAACTAGTCTAAAGAAATATGAAAACATCAGTACTTTTATAAAGAAATGGTAGAAGAAAAGGAGAAAAACAAAAATATATCTATAAAAGAGCAAGAGGAATTCTGAGGTGAGTTGACTTGTCACCTTCTTGAAAATAGAGACTTTCTTTATCAAAGTTTACTATTGTACAGGTTAAATATGTGAATTTTATCATCTGTCAATTAAAACTCATAAAATTTATTACAAGTAAACAAGTGAAATTTTAGACAAAAAAGGGATGATAAGAAGGAACAAATAAATACATTAAATGTCAGATACACCAAAAATGTATCTGCCTGACGCCTAGTTGTCTCTGTATTTTTAGGTAAATGCAGCAAAATCACACAGGTTGTCGTGGCAGGAAGTGGATTCTGCAAACCACACTAGGCCGTTTATCTCTGTCCTGTAGTTGGTTCAGAGCAACTGAGGCCAGCTGTGAGGCGCATAGGCCCAGGTACTAGGACTCACTCATGCCAGATATAAGCCCTGAGACACGTACATAGCCCCTCCATGTGTGGGTTCACTTTTACATCTGTACATGAAGAAACCACTGACTCCTAAATAACATCATCTATACACATAGGTAAAAAAATTAAAAATATGATAGTTGTTAAATGTTTATCGCAGAACAATTTCAAAATAAGGCAGCATTTTCCCAAATACAATCATTGTCATCAAAATCCCCCAGGACGCTCTCATCTACTCTGCGCCCTGCCTTCACCTCAGATGTCCCACCCCAGAGCTTGCTATATAGTAACAGACATGCAAATAGTTGACTCCCTCTCCTGATGAAAACCAGCCCAGCCCTGACCCTGCAGCTCTGGGAGTGGAGCCCCAGCCTTGGGATTCCCAAGTGTTTGTATTCAGTGATCAGGACTGAACACACAGGACTCACCATGGAGTTGGGGCTGAGCTGGGTTTTCCTTGTTGCTATATTAGAAGGTGATTCATGGAGAACTAGAGATATTGAGTGTGAATGGGCATGAATGAGAGAAACAGTGGGTATGTGTGGCAATTTCTGACTTTTGTGTCTCTGTGTTTGCAGGTGTCCAGTGTGAGGTGCAGCTGGTGGAGTCTGGGGGAGGCTTGGTACAGCCTGGGGGGTCCCTGAGACTCTCCTGTGCAGCCTCTGGATTCACCTTCAGTAGCTACGACATGCACTGGGTCCGCCAAGCTACAGGAAAAGGTCTGGAGTGGGTCTCAGCTATTGGTACTGCTGGTGACCCATACTATCCAGGCTCCGTGAAGGGCCGATTCACCATCTCCAGAGAAAATGCCAAGAACTCCTTGTATCTTCAAATGAACAGCCTGAGAGCCGGGGACACGGCTGTGTATTACTGTGCAAGAGACACAGTGAGGGGAAGTCAGTATGAGCCCAGACACAAACCTCCCTGCAGAATGCCTGGGGGAAATCAGCTGCAGGGGGCGCACAGGACCCACTGATCAGAGTCATCCCCAGAGGCAGGTGCAGATGGAGGCTGGTTTCCTGTCAGGATGTGGGACTTCATCTTTTTAGAGTTTCTCTAGGGAACCTCTCTAAGTTCAGAATTCTGTGCTTACCAATGCCATCCCTACATATTTTTAAAATGATTATTTTAATATGAAAACCTATTCTCTTATGCACGAAACACAGACTGATGCTTACAGAGATGAAAAGCCCTCAACCATTGTCACCAGGATCAGAGTATTGAGGAAACTCAGGGGTACCTGGTGGGTCTTCTCCACTCAGACTCAGGACAGAAACCTCAGTGAGTTTCCCTGACTAGGACGGTCTTTAGGAATTGTGATCGCAGCCAATAGAGAGTCTGGGCAAGGATCAGTGTCATGTAGAACTTCACAGGTTTCACTTCTGACCCTTCTCCTGACACTAAAGTATACAACTTAGTGTCAGCACTGATCTGGGGCCCCTTTTGCTCTTAGCCCATTCTATTTCTTTTTATTTGTTGTTGTTGTTCTTGCTTTTCCTTGTAGTGTTCCTGCTCCCTGTAAAGTGGGGATGTGGCTCTTGCTGCCAAAGCTCCAGGTCTCAAGCCCATTCCCTGCAGCTCAGGTGGGGCTCAGGCTGTGGCTCCTGCAGCCACGTGGAAGAGGCTGATGGGACTTTCCTCTCTCCCATTGCTCAGCACCCTCCAGTGTGTCACGTGGAGACTCACCTGCGAATGGAAGTGGCCAACAGTAGTGAAGGGGATGAGCTTGTGTGGACAAAATGGGATGTGGATGTGAAATTTATCCTGTGCTGTGCAAAGTAGCACAGAGTGAGTCACCTTCCTCACCAGTAGTGTTAGAAAGAGGGTGTGAAAGTTGTCAGAATCAAAATAGATCCACTTGTGTTAAAACCCTGACAAATGGAACTAGGAATGACCATGAAGGAGGTTTCCCATGCACATACTCCTGATAACAAGATCGACCATAAATGGATTCTGCTTAACCACAACCTTTGATAGAAGCCACCATGACCTTATAAAAATCACTTCTACAAGGACATCTTCCCAGCAAATCACGGTTTAACCCTATACTGATGCCAACCTTGGTATTGACTCTACAAGCAAGGAAAATCCTCTCAAAACAATTTATGCAACCCACCTCATTTTCACTCATAAACCTATGGATTGACATCCTGGAGCCACTGCTGCATTTGTTGTTAATGGTAATTAGCCCCTTTTACAATATTTGTGACTGTTTTTCTCCGATGTCTCTTGGAAAATAAATAATTTACAAGCTGATGGCAGTAAAGAAACTATTTAGGACATTTTTAACATCCTGTTGAATATTTCTGCATAGCACATCGGTCCCCTAAAATACTTCGCTGTATTGGCATGTGATGAATCAGAGTATAATGCTGAAGGTAAAATGGGAAATACATGGGCTTTTGATGAATCAAGTCATAGGGTGAGAATGTCTGTGTCCTTGAGGAAGGAGACCTTGGGCTGTAAGTTCTAGTGGGAGTACCTTTGGCAAAGGGATTTCATGAGTTTCTGAACGTTATGCTACTTTTAATTTAAGAATGCAACTTATCATTTATTTTTACTTAAATCTTTCCAGAAGATATTTGGCAGTAAGGACAGGGTAGCATTCGTGTGATACTGATGACTTAGAGAGTTATTTTGTAATTTCTCCTGTAAGGTATGCACATTGCTCACTTGATACAGAAGTTCAAATGTCACAGGCGGGAAAATAGGAATAAAGCAAATTTTATTAAATGTCACGACTGTAGTTTTTGGCAAGGAAGTGCTTCATGTCAACCTGAAAATAGACAGACAACAATAAAACATATTCAAATCCAAAGGGAGTCAGACCTATGTCCCTCTCTCTTATAAGTACAAGGCTTTGCCACATCCAAAATATCCTTTAGGCTCCAGGGTATAAAATGCTTTTGGACTGTGAAGCTAACAGCTCTCCCCTCAGACAGGGATAAGGCATCTGGGGAATGCAGAGTTGTGTTCATGAAGAAGATGGCATTACTGTGTCTTCTCCTGTGCCTGGTGATGGCTCCCCCAGGGTGAGTGTCTCAGATGTCAGATGTGGGTCTATGGGGTGAGTGTAGGTACATGTGACTGACGGGGACTGATTCCCCATGTATTCACATGCCCTGTCCCAGGAGCAGCTGCAGGAGTCAGCCCTGGACCTGAAGAGCACACACTTACCCTCTGCTTCACCTACACCATTTCTGGCCACTCCATCACAACCAGTCCTTACTACTGGACCTGGATCTGCCAGCTCTCAGGGAGGGGCTGCAATGGATACAATGCATTGCTAGTGGTGGTGGGAATCCGTTTGTCTTGTGGAAAATGGCAGCATCTCTTTATTTTATAAGGCAGAATAATGTTATATTGTGTACACATACCACATTGTCTTTATCCATTTGTCCATCGACAGACACTTAGTTTCCATATCTTGGCTGTTGTGAATAGCGCTGCAGTAAGCACAGGAGAGCAGGTATCTTCACAGGGTGGTAATTTCATCCCATTTAGGTGTATTTCCATAAGCTGGATCGCTGGTCATATGGTATTTCAGTTTTAATTTATTTAGAAGCCACCACACTGTTTTGCATAATGGTAATGATGGGAATGTAGAATGTCATAGCCGCTACGAAGAACAGTTTTAGATTTGAGGTATAATCCAAAAGCAAATAATGTTTGATCATGGTTCTCATATGAGGCTCTAATAAATCTAGTGGAAGTCCAGAAAGTTTTCCCACCTTGGGCAAGGATGAGTTTGCCCCTAATTGTCTTTGAGGCAGAATATTTGCAGAATGTGAGATGGAGTATGTCGGCAGGATTCAGGATGATTCAGCCATAAATAGTAATGGCACAGAAAAACAGGGAGTTAGAGACATGCAGAGAAAGAAAGAGATAGAGAGAATATGAATCTCATAAGAGGAAAATCTGCTGGATATCAGTGTTGGGTTTTCATTCATAGAGACATCAGTGTCAGCAAGAAACCATGAAGTCAAGTGAGGAGTGGAGAACATGTTCAGTCTGAAAATCAGCATATTCTCAGAGGCACCCATTGTCCCATGACACAGGCAGAGAATTTCGGAAACCAGTGAAGTGGGAGTTCACAATAAGTGATGAAGTTATCATTTTTCCAAACTTTCATTAATATGCAAAGTATTTCTATAGATCACTCATGCACATACACACAAAATGTGTTTTTGCATTTATGGGTGTCTAGAGAAAAATAAGTGAGAAAATTTTTCCAGGTTGCAGAGATCTGTTTAAGTTATAGATTCCACAGGAGAGTGTCTTTGAATGAATACTATTCTATTAATTAAATAGGACAAAATTCCCTCTGTTGGAGCAGCCTTCCAATTATGTAGATTTCTTTATTGCTTCTTGAGTTGTGAAACATAAACCCAAGGATTGACTTACTGGAATTCGAGTGCTGTGTTGATAAAATTTCTGATAAGTTTTCTTCCAATGATTTGAGAATAGCTTTCCTGTTTTTTTACTCAAGGAAATGAATTTTCACAAGGTTTCAGGACATCACGTTTCAGGTGTTTTACTTAAAGAGACTCTTCCTGGGTGCAGTCAGCTTTCTTCTAACCATGAGCTCACTTCTTCAGCAAACCATTCAGTTTGTGCCTCTATTAAGAATTATGAAGCTTTTAAACTTCAATGCACTGAAAATCATGCCCCTTGAATTAAATGTTGATTGGCACTGACATGAATTGTCCACTCTTGGATATGTGTCCTATGTTATGGGCTCAACATATCAGTGGACTGAGAATCCTCCATTAGCTGCCTCTGACTGTGGCACTGACCAGATTGAGAATCCTCAGAGTCATCCATGAAAAAGAGAGTCTTTAGGTTCATGGGGTTTTTGGAGACATTCAGGTGAGTGGAGGGGAGAAACAGGACTGGGGGTGGCCAGCCATTTCAACAAGACTGGGAAAGATTAGCATCTAAGTTTAAAGGTCTACATCATTCCAAACACCCTGCATGACAGGCTGACAGGAAGAAATCCAACCCCACAGCGGCTCCATAGCATCTCTTTAGTATACTTGGTAGTGAAGCTGTTTCAGGGAAGAAACGTCCACTCAAGGGAGTCAGTGATGCTTCTCTGAGCTACAATAAACCGTGTATTGGACCCAGGTTTCTCTGAGTTCAATGTGATGATTACACTCAGCTGCTGCTCCAGTGAGTTTAAATGAGCATGTGGCAATTCAGATGAGCCTGGCTGTGTGGTATGTTATATGTAAATCTGAACTATGTAAACATAAAGGGCATGTCGGAACTAGTGTGAGGGTGAGAGATCTTAGAGGCCCCACACCTCACACTCTTGTGCTTATTTGCTCCAGGAACCTCCAGGTTCTTTGAGTGAAAATCAACATAGATCCTTTCCTGGATAAATCATCCAAATATCTAATCTCTGAGAAATACACATGCACATTTCTCCGGATAGACCATCCAGGGGAAAGACATATCTAGAACCTTATCTGTGTTGGGTAAGGTAGTCCATCTCCATTACAGACCCTCCCAGCAGCCTTCCTTTATCATGAAAGTGGATAAAATTAGCCAATAGAGAAATAATCCTATAATGTTATAGCCAGAAAAGGGAAAGCAACAGTTTCATTTCTGGAGACTCTGCGTATAGGTCACAACCCAGAGAAAGAAAGGATGACTGAATTATTAAGAATCAATTGTAAGAACATATAATACTTCCAGGATGCACACTTTGTTTTCTCACCAGTATAATCTGGGTTAAAGATGAAAGTGTGGAAATGCACAGACTCTATGTGAGGAGGAGAACATAGGGAAACTGAAAGACAATGGCAGAGAATAAGACAAGGACAGTAGGAAAATCTGAAGCCTCTGACATAAATTTTTTGAAGACAAGGTCTTGGCAAATCCATTGACCTCAGATTCTTTTATCATGGGGCATTTGCAGGGTTCCTAGCTGAGAAAAAAAATGCATGCACTTCCCAAGTCTCCACTTGTATTCTGTTTGCCTCAGATCGCTAAGTGAAAAAAAGCCATAAACCTAGGCCTAGTGTGTGTGTAGGAGGCACTTTTTATAGGCTAGAAAATAGTAAGAAAGGAGAATATGTGTTATTGGAATAGCATATACAAAGGTGTCTTTATTCTGAATTTATCTGTACCTGCAGATATTCTCAGGTGCAACATTCAACTGCAAGAGCCCAGCGAAGAAACTAGGCACTCCCCAAATCCTTCAAGTTTTTGTGTTCATTGTGTGTCCACTGACTCAGGAAATGTGAAGCTTCAGAAAAGGGGGTCCCTTCTGTGTCACAGAATCTTGTCTGTGGGTCTCCCTCTGTAGGTTTAGTAAGGCTAATCAATTGTTAAAAGACATGGTGTCAGCAGCATGTGGTGTCACTGATGGAGAATTCTAAACCAGGACACAGCCACTTCATGCTGGGCTAGAGACTCTGAAGGAAAATATTTGTGAGCCCCGACAGAAACCTCATTGCAAGGCAAGAGCTTCTGTGGAAGGGGGCACTTGGGAGCCACCAAGCGCAGGTTCCAGCCCTGGAGCAGGTGCACAGCTGGGGAGGAGGTTTCCTCTCAGTGCCTGGGTTTTCGTTTGTCAGGAAAAAACAATCTAAAATAACTGTTCAAAAAGTCGCTGATGTGCTTTAAATATTCTATCACATCAAAACCATTCATATAACTTAAGGCACTGGGAACTATTTTTTAAAGTGGGTTTCTAGAACTATAATATCTTAATAGTGAGAATATGAAGGATAGGCATGTTTTTACTAATTCTATGGGTACAGATTAGTTGAAGAAACTACATTCCTATGAATAAGAAATTCAGATTTCAGTGTTAAGTAATGTTGCTTACATTGTGTGAGTGACAGGGCAGTGGTGGATCTGAGAGTGTGGCAGGTGCACAGACCAAGTGAGTCAGAAATCAATATGGAAAGGTGAGGGTCTGTGGATATGAACTGAAAGTATGTAAATACTTGACAAAATACTAATAAATGGAGTTCAAAATAACCCAAAATTGTTCTAAACACAAATTCCTTGACAATTACTTTGGGAGTAGAGAGTTCATAATGGACTCCAAACTCCTGCTTTATCTTCTGATTCCCATTGTCTGTGAGATGAGAAAATCAGCTCTAATTATGCATCACAGGGCAAATCTGTAAATCAAGAGTGTTCAATAGAATTGAAGACCCTGGGGGATCAGGACATGAGGCAGGTGCTGGAGACAGTGTCTCAGGAGCACCCAGTAGATCTCAGAGGTCCCTCCTGGACACTCATGTGGGACATAAGCATCACTTTCTCAGAGTCACCAATGAGCTGTGCTGGTGGCTGATGGGTCCAGGAAAAGACCAAGGCACCTGCTCAGTGTGATGGAGAGTGATGGTTCCAAAAATGATCCAGGTGGTCTCTATGCTAATCAAATGTAGGCTCACAGTGAGGAGCCTGTTCTATATGGGCTTATTCTTCAGTGAAAGGACGTCTGTCCACAAATGTTTGTAAATGGAGCAGGGCATGCATTTCCTCAAGCAGGATTAGGGCTTCGACCGTCTGCATCTCACTCTTGTTAGGCTGATGTGTCATTTATCTTCCCTTTCTTATCATGGATTGGGCTTTGAGCTAAGAAAGGCTTTGTCTTATGAATATGCAAATATACTGATATCCACTGAGGTAAATATGTTCTGTGCCCTGAGAGAATCACCTGAGAGAATCCCCTGAGAGCACATCTCCTCATGGGCTGGACCTGCAAGATCCTCTTCTTGGTGGCAGCAGCCACAGGTAAGCAGTTCCCAGGTCCAAGTAATGAGGAGGGGATTGAGTCCAGTCAAGGGGGCTTTCATCCACTCCTGTGTCCTCCCCACAGGTGCCCACTCCCAGGTGCAGCTGGTGCAATCTGGGGCTGAGGTGAAGAAGCCTGGGGCCTCAGTGAAGGTCTCCTGCAAGGCTTCTGGATACACCTTCACCTACTGCTACTTGCACTGGGTATGACAGGCCCCTGGACAAGGGCTTGAATGGACAGGATTTTAGTTATTTGAGAGATTTTTCATACAACATTTATTCTGTAAGCAAATTTCAGGGATTGTAGAATGAATCATATTAACAAATCTGACACAGAACTTCCTCTGAATCAATCTTTGTAAACATCAATTTCTGAATCAATGTTGTAAATATTTCAGAACACAAGCACAAATTCACATTTTAACTCTACTTTTATCTCTATTTAAAAAATATCAAAAAATCTCATTTTGTGCATGTAACGTTTTGAATGCCCACCATCAATGCATGACATTTCTTGTTTTTCCACATTCATGTTACCATTTATCATCATGAGAATTGTGAGTTTTAGCCATGCTGATAGGTGAGTAATGGCATCTAATTTTTATTTAAATGCACATGTCCCAAATAAAAAATTCGTATTAAACAATTTTTATATAATTTTTGCTGGGATGCCTTTCCTGATATGTGGTTCATTTTTATCTGCATTGTTTTCTTTTCATTAGTTGTAAGTTTACTTGCATATTGATTATAAAAGTCACTTAACAAATCCAAAGAATTGATTTAACAAATAGATGACTTGGAAGTATTTTCTCCCAGTCTGTGGTTGTCTTTTTCTCTCTTATCAGTGGGTATTTCAAAAAATATATGTGTGTCTGTGTGTCTGTGTGTGTGTGTGTGCACAGATTTAGACAAAAAACATAAAAAATTATTCATTCATAGATCATGTATTTGGCATTATATCTGAAGTCTCATTATAAAATACACTAATAGTGATTATTTATTCCATGTTGCTAATCTCAGGCCACAATCAACTCATGAGTGCTTAGCCTTCACCTATTGATTGGAGGACTATCCACCTGAGATATTTGGAATACTTCCATGAGGAGATGTGTTCTTCTTCCCATCATTTCTTTATTTAATCATCTATTAACATCCGTATTGGTTTATGGACATCTATTTCATACTCTGAAGAAGATCCATGCTACATTATTCATTTTCTTGTTCAAATCTCCACAGCTTTATTAGGTGCTGGGACCTCATTTAGTTTGGATCCTGCATCCTTACAGCAAAGCTCATCCTTTTGTTTTTGAACACTTCCCTGTTTCCTGATATTACGATAGATTCTAAGCTTGTTTCTTTATCACCTTTTTCATACATAGAATTAGCCATTTATATAAAGATTGCTTGTTTCTGATTTTAAAGAGTAGTGTTAAAATAAAATATTGTGATAATGGGTATGTGTGTTGTTAATGTGGTATAAGTACTTCTGGGACCTCTCAACCTTCTGTTCTAGCAAATGTGCATGTTTATATGAATCATGTCATGTCCATATATCCAATGTTGAACTATGTTGCGAAAAGTGATCTCAAGATAATGGTAATTATCAACCCCCTCCCTAACAAGGTGTAGATCTGCATTTTTTTTTCATTGTAACTCAACTTTGCCTCATGGTCAGGAACAGTGGTTTCCAGCTCTAAATGTACTGATTACAGCGAGATGTCCGTTTTCCCTGGAAATGTATTTTTAAGTTCTTACTGGATGTATTTGTTGATAATGTTTTCTACTATGAAGATACCTGAACAGTGTCCGCACTAGAGAGTAAGAAAGAGTAATGGGCAGATTAACCCTGTGCATCCAGACCCAGGAATCCTCTGATCCTGCCCTCCCTGAAACGGAGACACAGAGGATGGATGAGCAATGCTGAGCGGTGCACCCAAGACCACAAAAAGAAAGACATGGAAATATGTCCCCTCCCCTCCTCAAGAAAGGCAGCTCATCCCCTGTTCCCTCAGGCCCGGGCGAGGAGCCACCCCATGTCTCTTCCCTTCCTCAGTGTCCACACTGTGGGGTCTGCACTGATCTGGGCTTCCCTTCTCATCACCCTCGTATTAGTGGCCCTTGTGAATCAGGTCCAGCTGTGGCTGCTGCTCATGGGGCTGCTCTCAGTCTGCTCTCTCTGTGTTTGCAGAAGTCCTGTGTGAAGTTTACTGATGGAGTCAGAGGGAGAAAGATTGTACAGCCCAGCGGTTCACTCAGCCACTCCTGCAAAGACTCTGGATCACCTTCACTGATTGCAGCATAAGCTTGGTCCAGCAGGCTCCAGGACCAGAGTTGGCGTGGGCAGCAACAGGGAGAAATTCAAGAGGAAGTTCTTACATGCACCCTTACGTGCACGGTCTCACTGAGATCTTTACTTCCTTTATCACGTTTGTTCTGTAAATCACAACGAATGGTGCATTCTTCATCTATTATACACTTGTTAAGTCTTTTTTTGGCATCTTTTAAAAAACTGGTAACTTTATCCTGTGTAATATCCCTGTTAAGTCCTAAAAGTCTTTTTTGATGTCTATTTTTTCTTAACTTTACACAGCTACTATAGATTTATTTTGGTTCATATTTTTGTAATCCATGTTTTCTCATCTTTAGTTTTTACATTTGTGAATACGTACAGTAATTTTCTAATACATAGCTTCTAGTTGGGGCTTGCTTTTTAAAATCAACTATAATAAGCTCTATTTTTAAACTAATATTATTTTTCTGTTATATTGTTTAAATTAGCATTTCACAATGATGTTTATTTCTCTACTAACATATAATCTAATTCACTTTTATAAATATTATATTGGTTACCATAAGTTTTACAATAAGAATTGTATATAATTAGATTCTATAAGAATTGTATATAATTGGATTCTAATGCAGATACTGTGATGGCCTTGATATGAAGAACAGAGACAGTGTAACTGTGTGCTTTGAATTCCTCCTTCTCACTGCTCTTTCTTGTTTATTCCCAGTTTGCACTTACATATACTATAAAACATAATATATAAATTTTTTATTCCTTTCATAGTTATATAATATAGCAATTACAAAGATAAAAACTGCACTTCATCTTGATTTTCCCATTTTGTACAGTCTTAATTTCTTCGTATAGATTTATGTTTTGAATGTATATCACACGGCTACTAGCAGAGAAAGTTTGTTAAAATGTGCACTGAAGCATGAATGTGCTGACAATAAATTGTCTCAAGATCTTTTTGTAATGACAGAATTTTATTTGCCTTTCACTTTTAATGAAAATGTAATGCACGTAGAATTCCAGTTTGCATTTCACTTGTAATTTATTTTCTTGTGTTTATTATTTTGTTCATGGAGATGATCACACATTACATTCTGCTGGGCCTTTATTAACCACATTTCTATGAACCTAGTCAGGGTTGGGTTTCAAGTGTATGGTTGCCACGGCTATCAGAGTTGAAGTCAGCTTCTCCTGTTCACAAAAAGTTCAGGTTCCTCCAGTGATACCCACTTTTGTGTCCCGGTTTGGCTCTTCCCATTTCTTTCTCCCCAGAGAGAGCCTGTCTCTTTCATCTGTGGCAGGTGCATCCTGCTGACACTTTTACTTGGTGATTGTTTGTGGGGTGAAGGGGCTTGGACACAGGGGGATGTTCTCCAACCTTCTGACCAAGCATCCTTCTTAGCTATGGGTGGTGAGAGTGGCTCTGAAGCATGGTCTTCCAAGCGTTCCTGTTCCTTCCCTTCCCCAAGTCAGAGTGTCTCTTTCTAGCCACAGTGGTCTTCCATCAGTGTCCTCAGCTTCTGACCCACTGTCCTTACTCCACAGACTCAGGGTTTCATTCCTCAGGAAAGAGACGGGAGGTGTTTCTGGGTAGAGTCTCCTTGGTGTCCTCTGTTTCCTTCTGTTCTAGTTGATTCTACCAGTGCCTGAAGGACACAAGATTTAATAAATGTCTCCCACATATCGTGAAGAGGGATTCAGCATTGAACGGAGCTACTGTTCTTCCTCCCCAGTCAACACCACAGGACAGCAGGTGGCTGAGTTGTCTGGGGATTTCCCCAATTCTGTAGGAAAAGCCCGCAAGTGCCAGTAGTTTCACACTCTCACAGCGTTAGCACACACATCCTCAACAACTCATGAAACATTTCCAGGTTAGCTTTTTCCTATCTTCAATACCATACAATGAGTGGCACCTGCCCCAGGTACTCTAATAAATGGACCTAGTTTTCTCTGCAGGCTCCCCATTTTCTCAGATTTCAGGGTTTTTTTCTCTGCAACATCAACTCAGATATGTTGAAGGGTTCATTTTTTGTAGTTCTTCAAATTTCTTGTTAATGAGGTCAGAAGAAGATCATTTTCTCATTTTTTTTTTTACATTCCCGTGCTTAGTATCTGCTTTCTAAATAAAATTCGGAAACTAAGACAAAATATCAAATATCCACTATTTGGTGCATTGTTAAACTATTTGAGAAATATTCATGTACTGAAATACAATGAACAATTGAAATCAAGGCATGCCTCAGTCACATAAGAATGTGAGGACATTATCAAATAATTGTGCTGAGTGAAGGAAGCTAAAGAATTCACAGTAAATCTCCTGTGATTTCTTTTGTATAAATTGTAGAAAATGCAACTATTCTAAATTAACATGGAGAAGATCTGAATTTTTCTGAGAAAAGTGTGGTGAGGTAACAAGATGGTGAAATAAAATTACAGAGAAGTGAGAGAAAAAAATTTGGAGGTTAATTTAATTGCTAATAGCACGATTGAAGTGCTGATTCAAAGGCTGCACACATATACCAACATTTTCCATATCGTACACTATAAATTTGAATTCACTATTGATTGAATTTTTGAATAAAGCAGTAACAAAAATGAGTATATTGGCTGAGGAAGAGCAAGAAAGAGATGAATATTGACACTTGAATAATCACGGACTCCTGAAAATACACACATGTGAACACTGATTGCATATTTCAGGTAAATACTAGAAAAAGCAAAGTCACATAAAGTCGTTATGACAGGTGGGATACCCTGCAAATCACACTAGGCATGTCCCACACTGCCCTGGAGCTGTCTCAGGGGAGCAGTCTCCTCCAGTGTTTAGAGGCACAGGCACGGATAATAGGGCTGACGCTGTCCAGATGTGTGATATTGGACACATTGCACAACTGCTCTGTTATGTATGTAATTCATCTTCTCTAAAAATGTAACATTGACACTTGCACTGAATATATTCTGCAAATATGTAAACATTAAATAAGATGATGACTGCTAATTGATCATCAAGTCACAATCACATAATCTGAAGTTATATTTTCCTGAGAGATAGGATTACCTCCAGTGTTTTCCGGGACCCTCTCATCTGCTCTGGGCACTGCCCTCTCCTCCAGCGTCCCACTAGAGCTTGCTATATAGTAGGAGACATGCAAATAGGGCCCTCCCTCTGCTGATAAAAACCAGCCGAGCCCAGACCCTGCAGCTCTGGGAGAAGAGCCCCAGCCCCAGAATTCCCAGGAGTTTCCATTCGGTGATCAGCACTGAACACAGAGGACTCACCATGGAGTTTGGGCTGAGCTGGGTTTTCCTTGTTGCTATTATAAAAGGTGATTTATGGAGAACTAGAGACATTGAGTGGACGTGAGTGAGATAAGCAGTGAATATATGTGGCAGTTTCTGACCAGGTTGTCTCTGTGTTTGCAGGTGTCCAGTGTCAGGTGCAGCTGGTGGAGTCTGGGGGAGGCTTGGTCAAGCCTGGAGGGTCCCTGAGACTCTCCTGTGCAGCCTCTGGATTCACCTTCAGTGACTACTACATGAGCTGGATCCGCCAGGCTCCAGGGAAGGGGCTGGAGTGGGTTTCATACATTAGTAGTAGTAGTAGTTACACAAACTACGCAGACTCTGTGAAGGGCCGATTCACCATCTCCAGAGACAACGCCAAGAACTCACTGTATCTGCAAATGAACAGCCTGAGAGCCGAGGACACGGCTGTGTATTACTGTGCGAGAGACACAGTGAGGGGAGGTCAGTGTGAGCCCAGACACAAACCTCCCTGCAGGGGTCCCCAGGACCACCAGGGGGCGCCCGGGACACTGTGCACGGGGCTGTCTCCAGGGCAGGTGCAGGTGCTGCTGAGGGCTGGCTTCCTGTCATGGCCTGGGGCTGCCTCATTGTCAAATTTCCCCAGGAACTTCTCCAGATTTACAATTCTGTACTAACATTTGATGTCTCTAAATGCAATACTTTTTTTGTCCTTTTTGTTTCTTTGTTTTTTTGCAACAGGAGTACATATCCTCAGCTCCACAGAAGCCAGGGTGTCACTTTGGGGGCAGAAATAATCCTTTCATGGTTACCAGGATAAGAGTCCTGAGGAATCCCAGGGAAACCTGGAGAGTGTTTTCCAGTTAGACTCAGGGCAGAGACCTCCATGGGAATCTCTGATTAGAACAGGCCTTGAGCTCTGACGGGAGCCAAGAGAGAGGCTCGCCCAGGGTCAGAGTCCTTAAAACCTGATGGTTTTCACAGCTATCCCCCCTCGTCTTGTAAACTCAGACTGATTCAGTTGACCCTCTTTCTGCTAATCCATTTCCTTCTCTGTAGGTTTGATTCTCACAGTTCGCTTTCTTCTTCTCTTCCCTGAAAACAGACGATGTGTTTTCTGTAGTCAAAATCCCAGGGCTCAGGTCTGCAGGACCTGGGTAGGCTACGGGGACTTTCTCACTCACCATTGTCCGGACACTCTTGTCTTCTGTGCATGGAGGCATTTGGAAAATGAAGTGGACATTAGCCATGAAGGGAATAATACTAGTTTTCTCCAATAGGATATTGATGTAGAGCTGATCTTGTGCTTCTCACACTGTCTCAGAGTTTGGACTCTCACCTGTGACTTTGAGAAGAGCTGGGGATGGGCACTCCATTGTGCTGTGAGCTCTGGGTAACGATAATTGTAGAATCTGCCTAGGCAGTCTAAGGTCAATACTACTCGTCATCAGGAAAGACAGCTGGAATTCCTGGGAAGATCTGCATCTGCCGTCCACCATGGAGTCCCATCGTCTTCTGTTATGCTCTCTTTGAATCAGTCCCACCTAGATTATCTAGAACACTCTTCCTGACTTAGGAAAAATAATGGCAGGCTCCACTAACACCTGTGTTATGCCATGGGAGCAACACCTAAGCTAGTGTGTGAATGAGTAGATGAGACTGTGGTCTAGTCAAGGTGACAGGTAAAATTGATTGTTGCCATTATGATATTTTATTTTATATTTGGCAATATAGTCATGCTCCTATTATAAATATTCTTTGAGACGGAGTCTTGCTCTGTTGCCAGCCTGGAGAGTGCAGCAGCACGATCTCGGCTCACTGCAACCTCTTCCACCTCCCAGGTTCAAGCAGTTCTCCTGCCTCAGCCTCCCGAGAAACTGGGATTACAGGTGCACGCCACCATGCCTGGCTAATTTTTGTATTTTTAGTATCGACAGGGTTTCACCATGTGGGCCAGTGTGGTCTCGATTTCCTGACCTCGTGATCTGCACACCTCGGCCTCCCAAAGTGCTGGGATTACAGGCATGAGCCACCACACCTGGCCTAGTTTTATTAATGTCTGCCCATACCAGCAACTACATACCTATGGGGACATTAATTTACATCTGCAGACATATGTGTAAATACACAAGCCTATACATACATGTGTAGCCATTTATATTTAACATTATAATAAAATAATTCTAAAATATTTTCTAAAGAATTAAACTTAATGATGAGCTAAATATAAATTAGAGTAATCTATAATTGATTTCGATCATTCTCTATAGTTTGCATAAATGGATGTCTATTTCTAAGCCTTAACATAGTGTATTCGTCATTTTAAAATAGTCAAGAAAAAATTACAAATGTTCTTGTCACAAAAAAAGATAAGGATTTGATGATTTGAGGTAATATATATGTCAATTAACTCGATTCAATTATTCCGTATTGCATTCACAAACCATAACATACCTTTGTGCCCCATAAATATATACAACCAAAATTTCTCAATTTTCAATGAAATTTTAATTATATATTTTTAAATCTGATGCCTCTCCTTGGATTAAGCCACCTCCTCAGGCTTACAGGGCTCTTCCATTTTCTCAACATGTTGTTATACCAGATGAGCACAAACACATTAATTTCATTATGCTTAGCTTTAATTTTTCAAAACAACATAAAGGTGATAATTTTACCAATAGACGTATTACAACCTACTGTGCATGAGACCCTTTCTGTGCTTCAAGGTTTCTTCTCAGGACTTTATATGTATTGCAAATTTTCATTTTTTTCTGATATGGAATGCTGATTTCTCTTTATTATAGATTATCAGTTTATTTTTCAAATTTATCTCTTAAAATTAATTTTTTCAAAGTCCCACTCAAACCAGGGTATTATTAGAACTTTGACGTGTAATAGTTGGACCAACTTTGAGAATACATTCAATTTAGTTCACGTGCTCTCAAGCATCTTTTCTTCTTTAAAAGTTGTTGTCAGTTGTAATATCACACAAAATATTAGTAATTTATGCTAATGACAGGTTAAAATGCTGTATAAATAATTAAATTACATTTGATTGGAAAAAAGGAATAGATGTTCCTCATATCTTGACTTTTTTTCTTCTCTATGAGATGCATGCTTATTAATTATTAAGTTTAAGACGTTACCCTTGTCTTTTTGATTTCTGGGATTTAATTTTAGTACATATACTTGAATGCATTGTATTAATTCATATAATAATGTTCATATTTTGGATAGGGTTTTAATATTAATTTTATTATTACTGAATTTTAAACTATTCTACACTTTTTTTGTTTTTATGAGATAAAATTTACATATAAGAAAATATGCATAGATCTGGAATGTATCACTAGAGAGTTTCTGGCAAATGTGAATACCCTTGTTGTCCCCAGCACCTAAGGTAGCTGAAGAGCAAGTCCATTCCCACATCGCGGGTCTTTCCCTGTGCCTGAGGTCAGCTCCTGCATGGGGAAATGTTTTGATTTCTCACACTACAGATCCATTTTTTTCTGTTTTGAACTTTATATAAATGGAATCAAACATTATAGACCTTTTTTTGGAAAGGAGCTTTGCTATTTTTGAGATTAATTCATGCTATTTAATGTGTAAAATTAGATCAACATATTGTCATTTATTTAATTCATGGACTGACTCTGATATGAAACCTCAAAGTTTTCATGTATATATGGAGACAGGGAGAGGAAGGAGAAAGATTTTATATCTGAGTCAGTCCATTAAGTAAATAAATGAGAATATTTTGATTTATTTTCTTGTCGATGTACTTTAAATTTGTTTCCATTTTATGAATATTATAGGCAAAGCTGTTACAAATATATTAGTGTAGGTTTTCCTATGTTGTCTCATTTTTATTGAGAAAATATGAAGTATGTATTTCTTTATTTTTTTATTTTTGATTATTATTTATTTATATTTTAAATTTTACTTTAAGTTCTGGGATACATGTGCTGAACGTGCAGGTTTGTTACATAAGTATACATGTGCCGTGGCGGTTTGCTGCACATATCAACCAGTCATCTATGTTTGAAGCGCCTCAGGCATTAGGTATTTGTCCTAATGCTCTCCCTCCCCCTTCCTCCCACCCCTGATGCATCCTAGTGTGTGACGTTCCCCTCCCTGTGTCCATGTGTTCTCATTGTTCAACTCCCACTTTTGAGTGAAAACATGCGGTGTTTGGTTTTCTGTTCCTGTGTTAGTTTGTTGAGGATGATGATTTCCAGCTTCATCCATGTCCCTGCAAAGGACATGACATCATTCTTTTTTGTGGCTGCATAGAATTCCATGGTGTATATATGCCACATTTTCTTTATCCAGTCTATCATTGATGGTTATCACATGGTTATCACATTCTTTGGTTTTCATTTAGGAGCATATGTCTTGAGTAGAAATTTGGTCCTTTCCACACACTAAGCCTCACCTTCCTCAGAGGAAGAGCAGAGATTCATCCAACTTTGTCTGAGGTGGGAGCTGCTTCTCCACACCTTGGAGCTTGCAGAGACCCCTAAGTGCAGCTTCATTGAGTCAGGTGTGTCTCCATGTGGGGGACTTCTGCTGCCAGTGATTGCTGCTCAGTTCTAATTGTGGGTTCGGAATTAGGACACTTAGGTTATCACGCCTCAAAAATTACCATCATTATAGAGAAAAATAATAATACAATGCTAATCATTGTCACTTATTACTTATTATTATTGGAGTATAAGTTTGGAGAGACAAAATTGTTACCATATATTTGCATAAATGTAATGTCAGAATCTCCTGAATGGGTCTTGAACACTTACAAACTGGATAGAAGCAGATTCTTATTTTTTTTCTATACTGGTGTATTTTGGGATGTCAACATTTTGTCCAGAATCTGTGAGTACCAATAACTGTGTGTTTCAAGACTCTTCTTGGGTTCTGAGACAAGAAATGCCATTACTACCTGAAGGATTGAGACAACTTTGAACAATGTCAGAGCAATCATCTCTAATTGCTTCTAAACTTCAGTTTTATCAATTCTTATGCTCTCTGAATTATTTCTGATTTTAGCTATTAAAGGATTCTCTCTTTTTCTCTTAGTTAATTGAGCTAAGAATTTGTCTATTTTTTTAGAAAAAATCTCTTTGATTTGTTGATTTTTCTATTGCTTGTAAAGTCCATTTTTCACTTACTTATTTCATTTACTCTAAAGCCTCATAAACACATTGGTGACATGTAGATAGAGAATTTGATCGTAAATGCCATGTTTTTGTTAGACTCAGCTGATCATGTCAGGAAGCCCCCTGAGGGTTCTAGGAACTGACTGTGGCTCCCACCACTGGACAAGGATGAGAACCTCCATGCTTTGGGGATGGGAGGACATGCAGGGCAGTGTGAGGGGAGGAGGGTTGCTGGCAGGTCCAGCATTGCTTCCCCTGGCTGCACCACTCATGTCCTTCCTCACTCAGAGATTCAGTCATTTCTTCCCAGGTGGAAAAATCAGTTAACTTTATCTTTGATATATGGATGGGAGCCCAAGATAGAGGCTTGTCAGTCATTATTTCTGTGCCTGCTGCCTTGGGAATGTCTGAATTTCTTATGCTCTGTCCTGGGTCTATACCCCAGTGGCTCCCCTACTCCATGGCACCCACCTGTGCCTGTGCATGGCCCCTGATCACAGCCTCCGTGAAACATCTGGTTTGGCTCAGGAAGAACCCCCCTTGCCTTGTTTTCCTGCTGTCCCTGGTCCACATCCTTCTCCATCCACAGGCTCTCAGTGGTGCCTCCCATCCACACTGACCCTACATGGGGTCATACCTTGTCCACCACTTCCTCTCTCTTTTCTTCTGAGCCTTGCCTTTGATTCCAACAGCCTGTTTCCATCTCACCTGGACTTGTGTACAGGATGGGGTTTACCGAGCAGGCTTGGGTTGTGGAAACCCTGAACATTACTGAAAAAGTGCTTTCTCAAGCCAGGTCCATATTCAGCTCCTGGGAGATGATATCTGTTTTTTGGGCATAGACCTCCCGGTAGTATTTTTAAACCACTTTATTAAAGTAAGGTTTATATATGTAAAAGTATAGATTATTTAACATACTTAATTCATTGAGTTTGAAGTATACATCTGCAAAGCTGTCACCACAATCAAGGTCATACCCATAGCACTCACTTCCAAAACATTCCTCTTATCTCTATTACTATTATTATTAGCTAAAATGTATTTTTGTTTGTGTTTGTCTGTGTCTCTCTGTGTGTAGCCTGGGTGCACACTATACTAGGTGTTTTCATAATGACTTATGGTGAATGCCTATTATTGCTCAAGAGGCCGGCGTCTGAGCACTGGAGGTCAGTTGTACAGGTGCCACACACATCTGTGATGGGCCCCAATAAACAGCACTGGGCACCAGCACTCAGGTGAGCTTCCCTGGTGGACAATGCTTCACACATGTTGTCATGCATCACTGCTGGGAGAACTGGGGACAAGAGACTCCCCAGGGAAAGAACATCTGAGAGCTTGTTCCTGGATTCTCAGGGCCTTCCCCTTGCTGCCTTTGTTCATTTTAATTCATATTCATTTGCAATAATAAAGCTGCACCCATGAGAATAACAGCTCGTCTTGAGTCCTTTACTTCTATTATGTGGCCTGAGGATGGTCTTGGGATGCTCAACACAATTACATCAGAGGTGGAAATTGCTAGAAAGACCCTGACTACTGACACATGGCTAGAGCATTGTTTATAGTATCAAAGGATGAGAAAGTGTGGGATAAAAGACATTCAATACCTGGATGTCTGCAGAATCACATGGCAGGAGATGGCGTGTGTGCTCCAGTAAAGAGGAGGAAGTGAAAGTAATCAATGGAATTTGGAAATGGCAGACACAGCTCCCTAGGAGTTGTTCCCTGAATAACAAAAAGTAAAAATAATGAGGAACAACCCAAATATTCAAGTCATATCTGTGATAGCTAAAATAATAGTAAAAAGATGCACATCCAGCCTTGCACTGTGCCCTATGAGCTGAGGCTACTAGACTCCCATTCACCACCAAAGGGGACAGTTGTCCAGAAACAACACACAATACACAACAGCCACACAGAAGGTAGCCCAGGGGCTGGGCTGGGGCAGAGAATCCACTAGACAACTAGAACAAGGAGGACAGTGTGGAAAGTGGCATCATTCTGTGATATGATTGATATCATTAACTGATATCATCGGATTGTGAACAATATTAGCCAATGGACTATGAGAGTGACTGATGTAGCAGCTTGTCTTTGGCTTCATGTGCTGCAGAAAGGAGGAGTATGTTTGGGAGGATGCTGGACCCACAGCTCACAACAGACACATCACAGATGGCTCTAGCTGATTGCAACCTCAAATAAGATGTTCCTGATGGGTCAGCTTTCCTGGTGCACTGGATTCCAGATTGTGTAAAATTTCTCTACCCTGAGAATGAGACTGCCCTTCCTCTCTTTGAAATGCAAAGTGGGCTCTCCAGATAGGGAGGCTAATGCTGCACACGGAAGCCCTGCTGCTGTGTGTTTATGTTGATGCTGACAGTCACTGCTTAGCATGCACCTTACCCAGGTCATAGCCTGTGCTGTGTGTTTATGTTGATGCTGACAGTCATTGCATAGCATGCAAATTACCTAGGTCATAGCCTGTGTTGTGTGTTTATGTTGATGGTAATGGTCATTGCTTAGCATGCACCTTACCCAGGTCATAGCCTGTGCTGTGATAAAGAGAAGTCATTTTGCTTCTGCACCCCAGGTATACAATTCCTGTGGGTAATCTGGCAAATATTTTAGAAACTGTGTAGTTTCTGTTGCCTTGGCTTTTCATTTGGATCTTTTAGATGTTAAGGAAATGAGAGTGGTTCACAGGAAAATGGGGCAAATACAGGGGACAGTAAAAAGCCCCCTCCGAGCAATGTGGATATCATAAAATAAAAAAAATAAGAATAAAAGAACTAAACAGATTGTGCTGGGGTGGAATTAAAACAGCACTACCAGGAGTTGGGTGCAGCAATGGGGATCCCTTCAGGTCCATCAGCAATACAGAGACCTAAACAAATATTTCCTATTTAGGTTGAATTGGCAGAGTGTAAAATCTAGAAGATGAAATGGCCAGGAAACATTTGTCCTTGATTTTGCATGGGTGAAGGTCTGGCAGGTTAATCAAATTGAGGGTTGTTAAAGGCCTGGGGTGGTCCTGCCCTTTCTGGGTGCCCAGGCCATAGTCACATTCATGGGAAATTGCCATGGAATAAAGAGTAGTTTTTTGTGGTAGTTCTTGTTATCAGGCATAAGTGCATTTGAATTTTCTGTTCACGGCCTTTCCTGGCTCTATTTCTCATTTTTTTAACAGACATGATTTTATCTAGATTTGTCAACTTTCACAGGGTCACAGAGAAGGGTGGAAGGAGGGATGCCCTGGTTTGGGTCTTGCAGGACCACAGACAAGAGTGGGGAGGGGCAAGAAGAGGTTGTAAGGAATTATTGAGACCTATTCTGCCCCTCCCAGGAGGCTCAGTTCAGCCTTTTCTCTGCAACTGAGGTTCTGGGTTATAAACCCTGTAGACTCTTCCCTTCAGGTCAGGGCGGCAACTATGCAAATGCAAGTGGGGGCCTCTCCACTTAAACCCAGGGCTCCCCTCCACAGTGAGTCTCCTTCACCACCCAGCTGGGATCTCAGGGCTTCCTTTTCTGTCCTCCTCCAGGATGGGGTCAACCGCCATCCTCGCCCTCCTCCTGGCTGTTCTCCAAGGTCAGTCCTGCCGAGGGCTTGAGGTCACAGAGGAGAACGGGTGGAAAGCAACTCCTGATTCAAATTTTGTGTCTTCCATACAGGAGTCTGTGCCGAAGTGCAGCTGGTGCAGTCCGGAGCAGAGGTGAAAAAGCCCGGGGAGTCTCTGAGGATCTCCTGTAAGGGTTCTGGATACAGCTTTACCAGCTACTGGATCAGCTGGGTGCGCCAGATGCCCGGGAAAGGCCTGGAGTGGATGGGGAGGATTGATCCTAGTGACTCTTATACCAACTACAGCCCGTCCTTCCAAGGCCACGTCACCATCTCAGCTGACAAGTCCATCAGCACTGCCTACCTGCAGTGGAGCAGCCTGAAGGCCTCGGACACCGCCATGTATTACTGTGCGAGACACACAGTGAGAGAAACCAGCACTGAGCCCGTCTAAAACCCTCCACAGCACAGGTGCAGAGGAAGCTGCCAGAGACACACTCCCCAGGGGCCTCTCTATTCATCCAGGGAGGAAACACTGGCTGTGTCCTGAGGAGTGAGAACCAGAGAACAACGTGGGAGGGTTCCCAGTCCCTAAGGCAACTAGATGGGGCACCTGCTCCTGGGAGGTGGATTCTCTGAGGGGGCTCTTGTTCTACAAGGTTGTTCATGGTGTATATTACATGGTTAAAATAAAAAAGCTGTCTAATATGCACCTCTTAAGCATGACAGTCTTTTAATTAGTGAAAAGTCTACACAGTTAATCATTGCTGGCATGCTTTCCTCCCTCCTATCTTCTCTTGCTCCCTACATCTATTATTTTCTACTTAATTTTTCAAAATCATTTGATCCCTTTGTGAACTATTACTAGGTTCTGTTGTTTTTGTTGTTGTTTTCCTTTCAATAATATGTACTGAATAATTCATCTTTGTGCCAATTCATAAGTTCTTGGGTATAATAAATACTTCTCTCATAAAAATTAGATAAATTAAAATAAATAAATTTTAAAAAACATACAACCTATCAAAACTGAACCATTAAGAAATAAAAAATCTGGGCTGGTTGTGGTGGGTCATGCCTGTAATCCCAGCAGTTTTGGAGGCTGAAGCAGGTAGATCAGGAGTTCTATGTGAATCTGTGGTCAGGAGTTCAAGATCAGCCTGGCCGACATGGTGACACCAAGTCTCTACTAAAAATATAAAAATTAGCTGGGTGTGGTTGTGTTCACCTGTAGTCCCAGCCACTCGGGATGCTGAGGCAGGAGAATGGCTTGAACCTGAGAGGCAGAGGTTGCAGTAAGCTGAAATTGAGCCACTGCACTCCAGACTGGGAAACAGAGTGAGACTCCATCTCAACAACAACAACAAAAAAATCTGAACAGACCAATGAGTAAAGAGATTGAGTCAGTGATTTTTCAAACATCTCAAATCAAAGAAAAGTCAAAAATTTCATGGCTCCACTACTGAATTTTATCAAAAATTAAAACAAAATAACTAGAATCACTACTCAAATTTCCAACAAAATAAAGAGGAAGAAATACATTCAAACTTATTTTGGAAGGCCCTATTTCCAAAGCAAGGGAAAGACACTACAAGTAAATGAAACTACAGGCTAATATCCCTGATTATCATAGTTTCAAAAACTCTCAAGAGTGATGACAAACAAAATTCAACAGCACATTGACAGTATAATTCACTATGGTCAGGTGTGGTTTATCTCTAGGATGCAATGAAGTTTCAACCTGCAGAAATAAATGTGATATATCAAATGAAAATATTGAAGGACTAAAACCATATGCACCATATGTCCATGTCAATAGATGCAGAAAGAGCCTCTGACAAAATCCACCACACTCTCATTATAAAAAATCTGAACATATTATGCATAAAAGATATACAGCTCAACATAATAAACACCACATATCAGAAGTGCACATCTAACATTATCCTCAATGATGAAAATTTTATTTTCCTCTAAGACTAGAAACTAGACAAGATGCTCACTATCACCAATATTATTAAACACAGCACTGGGTGGTCTAGACAAAATAGGCCAGAAGAAAAAAATAGAAGTCATCCATATAGTAATGAATAAATTTTAAATATATGTTTTACATATTATATGCTCTTCTTTATGCAAAGCCCTAAAGACTCCACCAAAAAAGGCTGGATGTAATGAAGAGATTCAATAAAGTTGCAGAATACAAAATCAAACTTACATTTCAAGATGGCAGGTTAGAGGCATTGCTAGTATACCTCTTCCTCTTGGAAGGACAAACTGATATGGAGAGATGAACATTGTGGATTTATTTTCAAGAAGCAATGCAGGAACTGAACAAAAACACTGAAATAATCTACAAACTTTCCGAAAAAAGCAGGAAGCTGCAGCCTACACTGTGAGTCAGGTGAAGGGCTGCGAGTCCCCAGAGTTTGAGGGAAGAGTTTGCCTCTGGGATACACATCCACACCTGGGATCCTGAAAGTCCAGGCCAAAGGAGAAGGCCCCAACCTCACCCAGTGCAAGGACCCACTGTGCAGGGTTGTGGAATATAAAAGTAGGAACAGCAGGAAGACCCTTGCATAAACTCTCAGATCTCAGTGCGGTCTGAGAGCTGCCATTTCTTAAGGTTCTTCACAGAGGACCCTGGGAAGAACTGCCAAAAATTTCAGGCAGGGGTCACAGGTTGAAAGAAGCTCTCAACAGGGGTGTGTGATATAACCTAGAGGGGACGAACTCCCTTGGCCAGAGTCTGACAAGTGAAGAGTGAAAAGTGGGCTGCAAGTTCAGGAGCCATGGGTGCAGGAGCTGGTGCCTGGCTTTGCAGCAGACAGGAAGGAGCATGGCATGAAACCCATGGCTGCAGTCTCTATGGGGACAGCTTATAACTCCTGGCATTTGCAGATATTGATCACAGGCTGACTGGAACTCATCTCACTGCTGCCAATGGAACACCACAGGAGTGGCTCTGCCTCACCAAGTGTGTGGGAACTGTATGGGGCTTACCGTCACCTGGCTCTCACCACTCCCTGCACAAACTTCTATGCAGCAGAAGCAGATGTGCTGACCTCTGGAACATCAACCCAGTGGCCTGAGAACCACCCCTGTCCCCCACACCCACAGGGGCTGCTGCTTGCCCTGCACACAGAGACTCAGAGCAGAAACCCACCTGACCTAGCCCTCACCTTGCTTTGTGCAGCCACCTGCCCTGGCAATTTAACACAAAGGACAGCATCTTTTGGGAGCTACATAGCCACACCCACTGCCTGAGAATCCATAGTAGCCCCCATTCCTGGGCAACATAAGGCTTGCAAAAATCCCACTGCTAATAATGCAGCTGGTGCTCTTTCACAAACACCACCTCTTAGCTGGAGGCCAACCAACCATGCATTACAGTATCTCCTGGTAGAGTAACACTGCATCCCAGAAGGAGAAAATGACTGTGCGATCTCAGCTGTCACCATGGTCTGCACCACTCTGGATGAACGGGGGTCCCGAGTCTGTCCATGTGACCAGTTCATCACTACTGTAACCAGCATTCAAGAAAGCCAGCATAAGAAGGCCATCAATATCCAAGGAATTTCACAGAGTCTCCTTCACTCCCCTGCCACTCCCATCAGACCCGGTTCTGCTGCTCACTGTTGAAAAATGTGAGGACAGTTCACATCACCGGATCACTTACAGATATTTGCCAACACCAGCTTATAGACAGCCTTTCTGGAATACATCATGGTGACTGCATTCCTCAGAAGGCGCACTCTCCACGTTCTGGCTTGCAAGAGACACAGAGTCACAATTCCCCTCTATTCGGCACATCAACATTTGTACAGATGAAAAGACATGCCTGTCTTATCTGAATAGCTGGAATACTGTCTGAAAAGTGGATAGATTTCCTACTGATCTGGCAAGAGAGCTGAGGTTGCTCCAACCCTTCCCCGTGATAAGACCTCAGTGTGACTCACTAAAAGCTCCTCCAGCCACCCCTGTCAAGGCTGGGACTTAATTTACCCACCTGTTTTAGCCACAACTGCTTTCTACCCAGGGACAAGTCCCCCATTGGTCTGAAGCCTGAACCAACAAACAAGTAAACAAATCACTGGGGAAAAGCAAATAAACACGGGCATGCCACAGATGAATGAGATAAGATTTAAGAGACCTCAACCATTATAACCCCATAGAAGACAATGAACTTGCTCACACACTGAGTTGATTTCTACTGCAACCACCACATAGGAAAGCGATCACGCAAAGACTCTGTATAACCAGGGAGCTCCTACAGAGTCTTCATTCCCCTAAGGACCAAAAATCAAATCAGGCTGTAATTAATTATAAGCATAAAAAATCTCATTCTTAAGGGAAAAATACATTTAAAAACAAACAAACAGTCAAATCAAACTAGAAAATCTACCAAAACAAGAAGAAATGAGAAAAATAACTTGGGAAATATGAGAAAACAGGGTGGTATAACAGCGCAAAAAGGTCACACTACCTCTCCAGCAATAAACCTTAACCAAAATGAAGTCTTTAAAATACCAGAAAGGAAAATCAGAATGTTGATTAATAAGCTACTCAAGAAGATATCAAAAAAGGTGAAAATCATCATAAATAAATTTATATAAGCAGTTCAGAATATAAATATAAATTTTTATAGAGAGATAGATATCCTAAAGAGAAACCAATCAGAACTTCTGAAAATAAAAAAAAAAATGCAGAGAATTAGTAAGGGAACTACAAAATGCCATGAAAAGTTTTAAAAATAGACTAGAAAAAAAGTAAAATATTAGGAGAAAAAGAAAAAGGAAACAGTAGAAGAAAAAAAGAAGAAAAAAGTAGAAAGACTAGACTATTTTTGAAATAACCCAATCAGATAAAAATAAATATAAAAAGAGCCAAAAGAAGTGAGCAAAGTCTCCAGGAAATATGGGATTATGTAAAACAAATAAACCTAAGAATAATTGATGTTGCTGAAGAAGAAAAAAATAATAATAAGTTTGGAAAACTTCTTTGATGGAATAATTGAGAACTACTCCCCTGGGCTGACTAAAGACCTAGATGTCCAAATCCAAGAAGTTCAAGGAACTCCTGGAAAACTCATTGCAAAAATACCTTCACCAACCATACAGTCATTAGGCTACCTAAAGTCTACATGAAGGAAATAATCTAAGAGCAGTAAAACAAGACAAAACAAAACAAAGAAATCCATCAGACTAATGGCAGACTTCTCAGCAGAAACTTCACAAGCCAGACAGATTAAGGTTCTATCTTCAAACTCCTTAAACAGAACAACTTTCAACCAAGAATTTTTTTTTATCCTGTCAAACAGTTTTATAAATAAAAAAAGAAATAGTCATTTTCAGAAAAAAAAATGCTGAGCAAATTCGTCACTAGCAAACCAGCACTACAAGAAATGCTAAAAGGAGTCCTAAACCTTGAAACAAAAGCCCAATACGCACAAAAAATGGAACCTCTTAAAAATTAAAAACTCACAGGGCCCATTAAACAATGACACAATATAAAAGAAAACAAAAACTAGGTAACAATTAACATGACAAAGAAAATAGTAACTCATATCTAAATATTCACATTGAATGTAAATGGCCTAAATGCTCCACAAAAAAAATATGCAACTGCGTACTAGATTTAAAAAGTCACAATGGAAATACCTGATGTCTTTAAGAGACTTACCTAACACGCAAAGATTTATGTAAACTCAAGGTAAAATGGTGGCAAAAGGATTTCAACAAAAATAGAAACCAAGACTGAGCAGGAATAACTATTCTGATATCAGACAAAATGGACTTCAAAGCAACAACAATAAAAAAAAAGACATAGATGATCACTATACAATGATAAAAGGATCAATTCAACAAAAAATTACAATTATACATTTATATGCACCAAACACCGGCGGAACTAGATTCATGAAATAAGTACTACTAGACCTCAAAAACTGAGTTAGATAGCAAATCAATCATAGTGGGAGACTTCTATACAATAATGACAGCAATAGAGAGATCTTCGGGACAGAAAGTCAAGAGATAAACAATGTCCTTAAATGACTCACTGGAAGAAATGGATGCAGCAGATATTTACAGAACACTCTATCCAAGATCTGCAGAATATACATTCTTCTAATCAGCACACGCAACATTCTCCAAGGTAGAGCATGTAATAGGCCACAAAACAAGTCTTAATAAAATTTAAAACAATGAAATCATATCAAGTATCTTCTTAGACCATAGCAGAATAAAACTAAAAATCAACTTTCTAAAGAACTTTCAAAACTGAACAAATACATAGAAATGAAGAAATCTGCTTCTGAATAATATCTAGGTTAACAATGACATCAAGAAGAAAATTTAAAAATTATCTTAATTAAATGATAATAATGAGACAAGTTATTGAAACTTCAAAAATAAAGCAAAAACAGTGATAAGAGGAAAGTTTATAGTCCCAACTGCCTACATCAAAAAGTCTGAAACAGCATGTCACAACTCAAGAAAGTGGAGAAACAAGAGCAAACCAAACCTGGAGGCAGAAGAAGAAAAGAAAGAACAAAGATGAGAGCAGAACTAAATGAAATTCAAACAAAAAAATACAAAAAAATTCAATGAAATAAAAGCTGGTTATTTGAAAAAATAAACAAATTCATGGATCATCAGCTAGATTAACCAAGAAAAGAAGAGCAAAGATACAAATAAGCTCAATTAGAAGTGAAACGGACATTACAATCTACATAACTAATATAAAAAATAATTTAGAACCACCAAGTACATGTTCATGTACACAATGTAGAAGACTTAGAGGAAATGGTCAAATTTCTAGAAATCTACAAGTCTCATAGATTAAATCAATAAGAAATAGTTACTTTGAATATATAAATAACAAAGAGTGAGATTGTATCAGTAATTCGAGAATTGCCAACAATAAAAACAACAACAAATAGGGCCAGGTGAATTCACAGTTGAATGTTATCAAAAATTTACAGAAGAATTGCTACCAATTTTGCTGAAACAATTTTTTTAATTTAGAAAAAAAGAATCCTCCCTAAATTATTCCATGAAGCTAGTATAACCAAGATACCAAAACCAGGAAAACACACATACACACACACACACACACTCTCTCTCTCTCTACAGATGAATTTCCCTGATAAATATAGATGCAAAAATACACAAAAAATAATAGCTATCTGAGTTCAACAGCACATCAAAAATACAATTCCTCATGATCAAGCGGGTTTCATCTCAGAAATGCACAATTATTTGAACATACACAAGTCAATAAATGTAGTACATCACATAAACAGAATTGCAAACAAAAACCTTATGATTGTCTCAATAGATGTAGAAAAAGCATTGAACAAAATTCAGCATTTTTCATGATAAAAACCTCTAAATAAACGAGGCATAGAAGAAACCTGACTCAAACTAATAAAAGTTACATATGAAAAACCCACAGCCAACGTCATACTGAATGCAAAAAAGTTAAAAGCATTTCCCCTGAGAACACAAACAATACAAGGATGCCCACGTTCACCAATTTTATTCAACATAGTTCTGGAAGTTCTAGCCAGAGCAATTAGTCAGGAGAAAAAAAAGTATCCAAATTAAAAAAGAGAAAGTCAAACTATCACTGTTTACAGATCAAGTGATTATATCCTTAGAAAATCCTAGACTCCTCCTAAATAGTGTTAGTTTTAGTAAATGAATTCAGCTAATTCTCAGGTTACAAAATAAATGTACACAAATTAGTAGCACCACTGTACATTAACAACAACAAAGCTGAGAATTCAACCAAGAACTCCATCCAGTTTACAGAAGCTGTAAAAACATAGAATATTTAGCAATATACTTAACTAAAAGGGTAAAAGATCTCTACAAGGAGAACTACAAAACACTGCTGAAAGAAATCATAGATGACACAAACAAATGGAAATGCATCCCCTGATCATGGATTGGAAGAATTAGTATTGTGAAAATGACCATACTGCCCAAAGCAATCTACAGATTCAAAGCAATTCTTAGGAAAATACCCACATTACTTTCTACAGAATTAAAAAACAATAATGCTAAAATTTATATAAAACCAGAAAAAAAGCCCAAATAGCCAAAGAAATCCTAATAAGATAAAAAATTGGAGCCATCACATTACTGAACTTCAAATTATACCACAAGGCTGCAGTTACCAAAACAACATGGTACTGATATAAATGTAGGCTTATAGACCACTGGAACAAAATAGAGAACCCAGAAATAAAGCCACATATGTAAAGCCAACTGTTGTTTTGCAAAACATACCAAAATATGAATTGGAAAATATACACTGCATTTAATAAATGGTACAGGGAAAACTAGCAAGCCACATGGAAAAGAATAAAACTGGATTTCTATCTGTCACCATATAAAAGACCAACTCAAGATGAATCAAATTCTTAAATATAAGACATGAAACTCTAAAAGTTCTAGAAAACAATATTAGAAATCACTTTTACACATCAGGGTAGGTAAAGAACTTATAAATAAGACCCCAAAAGCAAACGCAACAAAAACAAAAATAAATTTATGGAACCTATTTAAACGAAAGTGTTTCTGCACAGCACAAATAATAGTCAACAGAGTAAAAAGACAACTCACAGAACGGGAGAAATTATGTGCAAACTTCACATCTGACAGAAGATTAGTATCCAGAATCTACAAAATATTAAAACAAGTCGCCAAGAAAAAAACAAATAATCCCATTCAAAAGAGGACAAGGGACATAAATAGATAGTTCTCAGAAGAAGATATACAAATGGCCAACAAACATATAAAAAACTGTGTAGCATCACTAATGATCAGGAAAATACAAATTAAAACCACAATCTAATAACACCTAATCCTGCAAGAATGGCCACTATAAAAAGTCAAAAAACAAAAGGGAATGCTTATACACCGCTGGTGAAAATGTAATTTAGTATAACCACTGTGGAAAACACTGTTGAGATTTCCTGAAAAGCAAAAAAGTAGATCTACTGTTTTGTTTTGTTTTTTCTTTTTTAAGATGGAGTCTCGCTCAGTCACACGGGCTGGAGTGCAGTGGCGCAATCTCGGCTCACTGCCACCTCCGCCTCCCAGGTTCAAGAGATTCACCCGCCTCAGCCTCCCAAGTAATTGGGATTACAGGCACCCACCATCATGCCTGGCTATTTTTTTTTTTTTTTTTTTGTATTTTTGTAGCGATGGGGTTTCACCATGTTGGCCAAGCTGGTCTATAACTCCTGACCTCAGGTGATCCTTCCCCCTCGGCCCCCTAAAGTGCGGAAATCACAGGTGTGAACCACTGTGCCCGGCCAGATCTACTGTTTGATCCAGCAATCTCAGTACTCTTTATTTCAAAGGAAATAAAGTCATTATATGAAAAAGATGTGTACATGTATGTTTATAGCAGCAGAATTTAACATTGAAAAGATGTTGAACCAATTTAAGTGCCTATTGACTAATGAGTTCATAAAGAAAATGTGACATCGCCTGTAATCCCAGCACTTTGGGAGGCTGAGGAGGGCGGATCACAAGGTCAGGAGATCGAGACAATCCTGGCCAACATGGTGAAACTCCATCTCTGCTGAAAATACAAAAAGTTAGCAGGGCATGGTGGCGCACGCCCGTAGTCCCGGCTACTAAGGAGGCTGAGCCAGGATAATTGCTTGAACCTGGGAGGCAGAGGCTGCAGTGAGCCGAGATCAGGCCACTGCACTCCAGCCTGGGTGACAGAGGAAGACACTGTCTCAAAAAAAAGAAAAAGAAAAGAAAATGTGACATACTTACACCATGGAATACTAATAAACCATTAAAGGGAATGACATAATGTCTTTTGCAACAACTTTGATGAAGCTTGAGGCAACTATTATAAGTGAAGTTACAGCAGAGTGGAAAAGTAAAAACTCTATGTTCTCACTTATAAGTGGGAGCTGGGCTATGAACTTGCACAGACATACAGCGTGATATAAGGGACTTTAGAGACTTAGAAGGGAAATAATAGGAGGGACACTAGAGAGAAAATAAATGCACTTTAGGTACAGTGTACACTATTCAGGTGACGAGTGTACTAAAATCTCAGAATTTATTGCTATGTAATTCATCCATCTAACAAAAAAAATCTTTACCCCTAAAGCTATTGAAATTAAACAAAAGTCAACCTACAAAAATAAGTATCTTCCGTATACACTAAAAAATGATTATTCAAAATTAAAATCAAGAAAATAAATCTAAATACAACAGCTTAAAATTCATAAAATAAATTTTACCAAAATAAATTTAACAAGGATACAAAACATCTGCACATTAAAAATTATAATATATTGATTAAAATGGAAGAAAACACAAATAAATGGAAGGCTATCTTGTGTTCTTGTGTTACTGGAACATACATTGTTAATATGTCCACCCTAACCTAAGCATTTACAGATTCAATGCAATCCCATTCAAAATTTCAAAGACATTCATTCACATAAATTGAAAAAAAAATTCTCTAATTTGTATTTCTGGGGTGACTGACCCTGACTATCAAGTTGAAATCAGACTACTACTCCACAATGGAGGTAAGAAACAGTATGTCTGGAATACAGGAGATTTCTTAGGGCATCTCTTAGTATTACTTTACCATGGGATTAAGGTCAATGGGAAACTACAACAACCTAATTCAGGCAGGAACACAAATGGCCCAGGTACTTCAGAAATAAAAGTTTGGGTCACTCAACCAGGTAAAAAAAACCTGACTAGCCAAGGTACTTATTGAAGGCAAAAAAAAAAAAAAAAATACAGAATGCGTGCTAGAAGAAGGTAGTTATCAATACCAGGAACAAGCATGCTACCAGAAGTGAGGACTCTAATTGTTATGAGTATTTCCTCCTTATCTTGTTAAGAATATATTTCTGCATGTATATAACTGTGCTAAGAAAATATCTTCACCGTGGCGGATGTGGTGGCTCATACCTGTAATCCCAGCACTTTGGAAGGCCAAGGTGGGTGGATCACCTGAAGTCTGGAGTTCGAGACCAGCTTGACCAGTATGATGAAACCCTGTCTCTACCAAAAATACAAAAATTAGCTGGGCGTGCTGGCAGGTGCCTTTAGTCCCAGCTTCTTGGGAGGCTGAAACAGGAGAATAGCTTGAACCCTTAACCCAAGAGGCAGAGGTTGCAGTGAACCGAGATCATGCCACTGCACTCCAGCCTGGATGACAGACTGAGACTCCGTCTCAAAAACAAACAAACGAACAAAAATATATTCATTGTTTTCATTGAATTTGTTTTCTTTTTATCATGTATCATAAGATTTATTGATTTCATATCAGCATTTAAATGTTGTTAAACGGATGTAGTGGCATTTAGGTTAAGGATTAGTGCACTTTCAGTTGTATGAAGGATAGCTGTATTATGTTAGGCATAATTATGACCTTATTATTGTCTTTATTTGGAGATCAAGCATGATTGCAGCTAGATGTGTAGGGGTGCTAAGTTGACAAGAGGTGGGCTTTTGATGGTTAATACTAGGTGTCAACTTGATTGGATTAAGGGATGCCTAGATGGCTGGGAAAATATTGTTTCTTGGTGTATCTCTTGGGGTTTTGCCAGAGGAGGTTGATATTTGAGTCAGTGGACTGGAAGAGAAAACCCACCCTCAATGTGGATGGGCACCATCCAATCAGCTGCCAGCACAGCTAGAATAAAGCAGGTGGAAGAAGATGAGATAGCATTGGTTGCTGTGCTTTATGTTTTTGTTTTGTTTTCCTTGCTGGCTGCCTTTTTGTTTCCTCCTGCCCTTGGACATGAGACTTCAGGCTCTTTGGTGGTTGGATGCCAGGGCTTGAAGGAGGGGCTTCCTGAGGGCTCCTGGGCCCTTTGTCAGAGACTCAAGGGTGCACTGTTGGCTTTTCTAGTTTTGAGACTTTTGGATTTAGACTGAGCCACTACCAGTTTGTCTCTTTCCGTGCTTTTAGAAAGCCTATCATGGAACTTTCATCTTGCAATTTTGTGAGAAAATTCTTTCTAATAAAATATTTATATATATACATATGTCATATTAGTTCTATTTTTCTGGAGAACCCTGAGTAATACAACTTTGATACACAAAACAACATTGTTGTACTCACAAAAATGTATGCTAACTAAAATAAGCCAACAAGTAAAAGTGCATAAAGTATAAATCTATTTCTACAAACCACAAAAAATGAACATGAATCTAAAGTAACAAAAAAGATCAGTAGTTGCTTAGGGACAGAGTGGAAAATTATATTTTTTCAAATGCTAAAAATAACACTCTCATCTACTATGAACATTGCTCTCTCCTCAGGTATTTCACCCCAGAACTGACTCTACAACAGGAGACATGCAAACAGGTTCCTGTTCATGTACTAACACTTCCTAGCACTTCTTTTTCATGTACTTCTTTGACTTATTTGTTGATGAAAGTTGATACCATAAAAATATCTAAACAGGGTTCACATTAGAGAAAAAGAAGAGAGTGACAGGAAGATTAAGCCAGAGCATCCAGTTCCAGTGATTCTTTGATCCTGCCCTCCCTGAAATCTAGAAGCAGAGGGATGAGCCATGCTGAGCAGAGCACACTTGTCCAGGGAGAAAGAGGAGAAAGAGGTGTAAATGTGTCCTTCCCATGCTCCCTGTCCATAAAGGGAACGTCAACTGATGTCTGTGCCCTTCCTTAGTGTCTACAACATAGAGTGTGTGCTAATCTGTGCTTCACTTTTTATCACTCTCAGAGGTAGGGCTTCTGTGGATCAAATACAGCTGTGGCTGCTCCTCAGCCTGTTCCCTCTGTATTCGTAATAGTCCTACATGAAGTTCATTGGTGGAATCTCAGATACTTTTTTACAAAGCCTCTGAATTTACCTTCATTGACTCCATCATTAGCTCAGCCCAGTAGTCTTCAGGCCAGGGGCTGGTGTTGGGGGGCAACAGTGAGTGATTTGAGTGGAATTTGTTAGTGGTACCCTCCATCAATACAAAGAAGAATCATAATCCTCAGGGACACCCTTGTCAGCACAGTCTCCCTCAAAATGACCAACCTGAGAGCCGAGAACAAGGTCACGTGTTACTGTGAGAGACACAGTCAGCAGACACCAGTGTGGTGAGTCCAGACGCAAACTTCCCTGCAGGGAAACAGGAGGGGACTGCAAAGTAGGCATGCTCAGACCCACCAGTGGGCGATGGGGACACACAGGAGTGCTCAGAATCCAGCAGGGGGCTCTCAGAACAACCAGGAGGCACTTAGAATGCTGGGGGAAGCTCAGGACACCAGGGGCCACACAGAACCACCGGGGGGCACTCACGACACAAGGGGGTTCTCAGGAACCACCAGGAGATGCTCGGAACCACCAGGGGGCGCTCATTAACCACTATGGGACACTCAGGACTAACCAGGAGACGTTCAGGAACCACCAGAGGGCGCTCAGAACCGTCAGAGGACAGTCAGAACCACCAGGGGGCGCTCAGGACACCAGGGGTTGCTCAGGACCCCAGGGGTTGCTCAGGACCCCAGAGGGTGCTCAGCAACAACCAAGTGGTGCTCAGATCCACCAGGGGGCGCTCAGGAAGTGAGGGGGTGCCCAGGAACCACCAAGGGTCGCTTAGGAACCACATGGGGCACTCAGAACCACCAGGGGGCGCTCAGGACACCCTGGGGAGCTCAGAACCACCAGGGGGCAATGAGAACACCAGAGGGCCTTCAGGAAACCAGGGTTCTCTTAGCAGGCAGCTCCTCATCAGGTCCCTGGGGAGGGTGAGTTTCTTTATTTAGGTCTTGTGATTCCTGACCTGGTGAAGCAAACGTCTTCCCAGGGTCTTTTACTATTTCTTCTTTAGAATCCATGGTTTCTCTCACCTACAAAACCTTAACTTAGAACAGGAGTTCAATTAAACTATTAATTCTTAATATTGTTGTAATAATACTAGTAATAATATCTCAGTACAATTTTAAAATGAAGAAATTGTGTATGCTTACTTCAAATTATTTCCACAAACAGCTTTTCGTTTCTGTGCTGTGTCAGTCACACTATCATAAAGGGTTTCTAACAATAACTCAGCATATGCATGGTGCTGAGTTTCTTTCTCTTTCATCCTCTGATTGTGACCCCTCAGGCTGTTTCCCCACCTTCCCTTTTTCTGTCCAAACCTTTCATATTCCTCAATTTCCATTCAAGGAACCAGCAAGTCCGTTTACATTGCCTCATCCGTGTCTGGTGAATCAGTTCACTTTCCTTCATGATCACCGAAGCCAATCAAGTATGGGCAGGTAAATGTTCTTAGAATATGTTCATTCAGACTCACTGCCCACCTCACCCCTTTCTAGGGTCCTGCAGACATCACCCACACCCCATCTCCTCCCTTCCCTAATTAACAGAGTGGGCTCTGCAGCTCCTGCTGCCCTCTGTGTGCTCAGCCCTGGGGCTCACTAGGGCTTTGATGATGAAGTCCACATCTCTAAAGTATTTGCGCACTCTCAGACCACCCTCTAGCAAGCTGCTGTTGTGAATGAATCCTGAGAATCCTGGGCAGATTTCAGTTCCACATTGCTGGATGTTCTCTAGCATTCAGGAGTATTAGCAAATAACTACCAGAGTGAAATTGGATGCAAAAAAATTTAAAGGAATACTTTTAAATAGAAATATTTTAATCTGACTTTTATGAAAATACAATGATAATACAATCAATAATGTAATAAAATTTTAATAGTAATGTTTATTACTTATTCAATTTGTGAATGACTGATATTCAAAAAGGATGCTGCTAACACAAATGAGAAATAAACCAACACAAAGTTCATAAATAAATACCATTGTACATTAAAGTAATATAATTTTCAAGAATGGCATTTATGTTAACTTTTACCAGAACATGCATTGAAATACATTTGTTTATTGACATTGGAATAGACAGAAATATATATATAGAAGAACATTATTTTAGACTACAATCTCAATTACTATAAACACAATAATTTCAATTCAATCCAATAATTAAAATATTATGCAAAAAGTGTGCCTTCTTTTTGTGTTTGAATATGCATTTATTTTTGGTTTTGCACATATGTGTATCATTGTTGAGCATGTGTGGTTTTTTTGGTGTGTGTGTGTGTGACTATGAAGTAGGAAATACATTATTAACTTATAGGGTTATAACAATCTAAGTTTTGCCATGTTAAAAGATAATAAAGAACACACAAGTAAAAAATCATAGTGTATTTCAAATGCCTCAGACTTCCACAGAAGTCATATCAATAATGAACATACTAGTTCAAGGTTTTGAAAAAGACACATGTAATAAGATATGTCAAATTGAATTAATAGAATATTGCTATGCAGTTGAGAAAAACATCATACAATCAGTCTCACTACTGGCCAAATAAATGCTTATGATAATAATACCTGTAGTCCATCCTATTGTAGAGAATAAAATAACTATATAAATGCCACTTCCATTACTAGAATTTAGTATTAGATACTTCTAATATTTTCCTGATACAAATAAACATTTGTCAATGTCTTAGACATTTCAAAATTATTTTAAAAAATAATTTGCATAATGTTTGTGATAGTATCATTTTCAACAACCTATTCCATAAGTTCTTATGGTTTTTATTTTTATCATAGTGCTTTTGCAGTTTACACACTTTTGATTTGTAATAAGTATAGATGACCAGAACAATTTTAGAAGAAATACATAGTGTGTTCCCTTCCATCTCCAAGTTTCTTCTAAGGTTAACTTTTACATAAACATGGCACATTCTACTAACACATTTATACCTATGGATTTATATTTATTAGACTCCAGACATTATTTGAGCTTCAACAATTTCCCAATATTTTTCTTGTTTGTTTTCCTTTTTTTTTTAAATATGAGGTCTGACTCCACTCTTGCTTTTGTTTGTTTCTTTGTTCCAAGGCTCAACCTGGGTCACCATATTGAATTCAATCACTCTTTACCTCTAATCTTTTTGGGTTAATTGGAGTCTGCATTCCTACTGTTTTCCAGTTGAACATTTTATACATGAAAATTAGCCAAGTAGGTTTTTACTGCCATTTAGGTAACTTAAATCTTTTCATATTTTTTCACTGTCTGTTCTTTCAATCACAATTGGTACTGAATTTTACATTTACTATAAATGTTAGTTTATTTTCTGAAACATTTGTTAAATCTTTTTTGATGTCTTCTAGAAAAGTAAACCCTTTATTCTGTGTAATATTTTTCTTCAGTCTTAACAGTATATTTTCTAATGACCACTTATTCTGAAATTAAAATAGCTTCTCAATAATTCTTTTCATTCATACTTTCATGGAACATGTCATCACATCTTCAACTTTCTATTTGTAAAAATACAGAGTAACTTTCTTGTAAAAACCTAAAAGTTGAATCTTTTTTTTAAGAAGCTATGACAAATTATCCTTTTAAACTTTTATCTCTTTTTCCGGTTAATTTTTTTTTTTTTGAGATGGAATCTCGCTATCATTGCCCAGGCTGGAGTGCAATGGTGAGATCTCAGCTTACTGCAACCTCTGCCTCCTGGGCTCAAGCGATTCTCCTGCCTCAGCCTCCCAAGTAGTTGGGATTACAGGCATGCACCACCATGCACAGCAAATTTTGTATTTTTAATAGAAACAGGGTTTCTCCATGTTGGTCAGTCTGGTCTCGAACTCCTGACCTCAGGTGATCCGCCTGCCTCGGCCTCCCAAAGTGCTGGGATTACAGGCGTGAGCCACTGTGCCCAGCCTGTTAATTCTTGCTTTATTTTGGCATTTTATTGTAAAGTTTATCCTATTAACTTACTTATGACTTAATTTATTTTTATTAATGTTTTGTTGGCTACCACAAGGTTTGCAATAATAATTTTATATCATCAGATTCTAACTCAGATAATGATATTTTTGTACCAGTTGTTCCCTTCTACAGCTTCAATATTCTCCACTGTTACAATCAATCACCTTCTAGATCTGCTGCCATGCCCTGCAGATTAAGGATTTTATTCCATGACAGAGTGGAGGTGCAACTTGATGGAACTTTGATGAGAACCTCGGTTTTTATCCCATGTCCTTTAGGGCTCCATCAGTACCTCTGGAATAATGGTTTCAGTGGCTTGCCCCTGCAGGGTAGATAATTCCTTATTTCTATAGTGCTAAGGAGGGATTGTGTCTGAATGCATTTTAGAAGTATGTGGCCTCCCTCTGTCTTAGAAAGACACTTTGGGAAATAAAGATTTTTCTCACTGTCCCCATTCTAGGGTAAAGGGATTCACTAGGATAGGAATGCTGATCAAAGAAAACCTTCAGGCAAATTAAATTTAAAAGAGTTTAATTGAGTAATGGATGATTCATGAATCAGGCAGCCCCCAGAATAGATTCGAAGAGGCTTGAATGTAGCCACATGGTGGAAGAAGATTTATAGATGAAAAAAAAATGATGTACAGAAATTAGAAGTGAGGTACAGGAATGACTGGATTGGTTACAGGTTGGTGTTTGTCTTATTTAAACACAGTCTGAACACTCAAGGGTGTATGAGTGGTTAAGGTATGGCTACTGGAATTGACCAAGGCTCAGCTATTGTTACAGGTGCATACTCCTAAATTAGGGTTTCAATCTTGTCCACACATTCAGGTAGGTTACGGTTTGTCCACAAGGACTCAATCATAGAAGTACGGAGTCCTTCTCAGGCCATATTTAATTCACTTTTTCAGTGCCCTTCAGTATGTGGTTCCTGAGAATTTCACACGACAACACGTTTTCCACACTGGAATTTAAGCAATCCAACACGTATTTGTCTTTATCTTGTAATAGGCTATATTTCATATGGCAGCCTCTGCCTCAGTTTAGTTAACACCATGGCTTTGTTTCTCTCTTGGAGAAACAAGAACTTGTTTCTCCCAAGATTTCCGTGTTCGTGAAAGGAAAATATACCTTTGGGACCCCCAAATCACTAAGCCAAATGTGAAAGTGAAGCTGAAAACTGGGGCAAACCCACCTCCCATTCTTTCCCTAAAATGATAGCTACTAAGGTTTTTAAAAGCTGCATACCTCCTTCCCGATTTGACCACAAGGAAAATCCTTATGAACCAAGGACAGACAGAATAATTTCTCTGCTCACGTAAGTCAAATGCATATCTGATTGCTACCTTTGCTCTATTGTTTCGCTGCGTGAAAAATAGGCCTACGTGACTATTCCTGTAAATTGTGCATTCAGTTAATGGCTAATCAGAAACTCAAAAGAATGCAACCATTTGTCTCATATCTACCTATGATCTTGAAGCTCTCTCCCCACTTCGAGTTGTCCTGCCTTTCTGAACCAAACCAATGTACATCTTACATATATTAATTAATGTCCCATGTCTCTCTAAATTGTATAAAACCAAGCTGTGCCCCACAACCTTGGGCACATGTCGTCAGGACTCCCTGAGGTGGTGTCACAGGCATGTCCTTAATCTTGGAAAATGAACTTCCTAAATCTATTGAGATTAGTCTCAGATACTCTTTGGTTTACAGGTTTATTTTTTATCTTATAACTTGTATTATCTGAAATATTAAAGAAAATTTGCCAAACTACACATTCTCTTGTTTAATCTGTTATTGTTTTTATAAAGGGAAATATATTTATATAATTTATGTATAATTTATAATTTATGTACATTATGAAGCTGAGTAGCAGAATTATTAATAAGATCTAGAGTAATAAAAAATTCCAGGATCAATTATCAGCTTAATAGAAAAAGAAATTATGCTACATTTGTTTGCTGAAATGCTACCCATTTATAAAATATAAACACACACAACAAAAAGGTTTAACTCTCAGCATTTCTATTGAGAAAAATAAGCCAAATAGTTAAGATATATACTATATTACTTCATTCTTATAAATTCTAGAAAATAAAAGCTAGTTGAAAGAAATATGAAAACATCAGTAGTTTTATAAAGAAATGGTAGAAGAAAGGAAGGAGAAAAAACAAAAAAAATAAGAGAGCAAGAGGAATCCTGAGGGAAGTTGACTTGTCACCTTCTTGAAAATAGAGATTTTTTTTCAATGTTTACTATTGTACAGGTTAAATATGTGAATTTTGTTATCTGTCAATTAAAACGTATGAAATTTATTACAAGTAAACAATTGACATTTTAGACAAAATAGGAAATACAGCAAGGAACAAATAAATATGTTAAATGTCAGATATACCTAAATATTTATCTACCTGAATCTTGTCTCCACATTTGTAAGTAAACACAGCAAAATCAGACAGGTTCTCGTGACAGGAAGTGGATTCTGCAAACCACACTTGGCCCGTTTATCTCTGTCCTGTAGTTGGTTCAGAGCAACTGAGGCCAGTTGTGAGGAGCATAGGCCCAGGTACTAGGACTCACTCATGCCAGATATAAGCCCTTAGACACATACATAGCCCCTCCATGTGTGGGTTCACTTTTACGTCTGTACATGAAGAAACCACTGATTCCTAAATAACATAATTTATACACATAGGTAAACATAATTAAAAATGTGATAGTTATTAAATGTTTATCATGGAACAATTTCACAATAAGTCAGCATTTTCCCAAATACAATCATTGTCATCGAAATCCCCAAGGACACTCTCATCTGCCCTGGGCCCTGCCCTCTCCTCAGGCGTCCCACCCCAGAGCTTGCTATATAGTAGGAGACATGCAAATAGGTCCCTCCTTCTCCTGATGAAAACCAGCCCAGCCCTGACTCCGCAGCTCTGGGAGAGGAGCCCCAGGCCCGGGATTCCCAGGTGTTTCCATTCAGTGATCAGCACTGAAGACAGAAGACTCATCATGGAGTTCTGGCTGAGCTGGGTTCTCCTTGTTGCCATTTTAAAAGGTAATTCATGGAGAACTAGAGATAGTGTGAGTGGACGTGAGTGAGAGAAACAGTGGATATGTGTGGCAGTTTCTGACCTTGGTGTCTCTTTGTTTGCAGATGTCCAGTGTGAGGTGCAGCTGGTGGAGTCTGGGGGAGGCTTGGTCCAGCCTGGGGGGTCCCTGAGACTCTCCTGTTCAGCCTCTGGATTCACCTTCAGTAGCTATGCTATGCACTGGGTCCGCCAGGCTCCAGGGAAGGGACTGGAATATGTTTCAGCTATTAGTAGTAATGGGGGTAGCACATACTACGCAGACTCCGTGAAGGGCAGATTCACCATCTCCAGAGACAATTCCAAGAACACGCTGTATCTTCAAATGAGCAGTCTGAGAGCTGAGGACACGGCTGTGTATTACTGTGTGAAAGACACAGTGAGGGGAAGTCAGTGTGAGCCCAGACACAAACCTCCCTGCAGGAACGCTGGAGAAAAACAGCTGCAGTGGGCGCTCAGGACCCACTGATCAGCGTCAACCTCAGAGGCAGGTGCACAAGGAGGCTGATTTCCTGTCACGATGTGGGACTTCATCTCTTTACAGTTTCTCTAGTGAACCTCTCTAAGTTCAGAACTCTGTGCTTACTAATGTCATCTGTACATATTTTTTAAAATGATTATTTTAATATGAAAACCTATTCTCCTGTGTACAAAATGCGGATTGATCCTTACAGAGGAGATGAAAACTCCTCAACCATGGTCACCATGATCAGAGTTCTGAGGAAACTAGGGGCTTCCTGGTGAGTCTTCTCCAATCAAATTCAGGACAGGAACCTCAGAAAGATTCCTGACTAGAACTGAGGTATTGCTCCTCACAAGAGAGCTCTAGCTCCGGGGGGTCTGTTCCTGCAGACCCCTGATTCGGTGGTGTATGAATAAAATGTACACTGACACACAGATACTCTGTTTTTCCAGTGCAGCTGAGGGTCCGAGGCCACTTACAGACTCCAAGAAGAATCCTGTAAAGAATGGCAGCAGTGGCCCTGAGCAGCTCGCACTCCAGGCGTGTATTTAGTATAGAATTAACAACAGAAGCTCTGAGTCAACACACTTGTGGATAATTAACATGGTTAAGAGAGTAGTTCTACGAATGAGTAAAGCTCAGGGACTGTGGTCTGAAGTAAATACCATTAGGGGGCAATATTCTTGGTCGACCTCCCGCTGAGAGGGTCTTCTGGCTTAAAGGTTAGTTAATGGGGTAGGGTAACCAGACTTAACTGGGGAAGCCTCTGTTGTCCCTAGTATTTACCCTACAACCTAATGCTCTAAGGTAAGAACCGGCCATCTTCAGCCTGTTCAGTTATTGCAAGCTATGTAAACTTCCGGCCTTCCAAAAAAGTTTGTGACTATTTCCTATAACTTTCGTTAATATTTCCCTTTAATATTTCTGCCACCATCCTGAATGAATCCCAGCAAGAACAGTCTTTGGGGATTCTGATTACAGAAAAAAGAGAGGCTGGGCCAGGGTCAGTGTCATGTAGAACCTCACAGCTTTCTTGTGGGACCCTTCTCCTGACACCGAAGTATGCAAATCAGCATCAGCACTGATCTGGTGCTTCTTTTGTTCCTGATTCATTTACTTTCTTTTTTAGTTGTTGTTCTCATTTTTCCATTTGCTTTTCCTGCTTTCTGAGAAACAAAGATGTTTTTGCTGTGGTCAAAATTCCAGGCCTCAAGCCCTTTTCCTGGAGCTCAGGTGGGTCTCAGGCTGTGGCTGCTGCAGTCACGTGGGAGAGGCTGGTGGGACTTTCTTCACTCCTCGTCACTCAGGACCCTCCACTGTGTTGCATGGAGACTCATGTCGAAATACAAGTTGCCAGTGAGAACACAGGGGACAAGCTTGTTTGGTTAACGTGGGATGTGGATGTGTTTCTAATCCTGTTCTGAAAAACCTTCACACAGTAACGTTCTTCACTAGTGGAGGAGGAAGTGGGTGTGAACGTTGTCAGAATAAAAATGGAGCCACGTGTGTTATAATCTTTACAGGTGAAGCTGGAGGAGGTCATGAATAGAGGGTTCTCATGCACACATCCCTGATAACAAGAACTACCCTAAAAATACTCTGCACAACCACAACCTTGAACAAAGGCTACCACAACAATAAGAGAATTAATACTGTGGGGATATCTGCCCTGCAACTCCCTGTTCAGCCTTAAACTGATTCTACCCTTGTTATTGATTCTTCTACCCCAGGATAATTGTCTCAAAATAGCTCATGTAATCTTCTCATTTATCCTTTAGAATACTTGTCTTCCTTTACCAACCTAAATGTGACCATGGATAATCCCATTGCAATGCTCATTTTCAAATAAATACGATTTGATTTTGGAGAATCTCTTTCTGTCTGATATTTAGGTTTGACAAGATGCAGACCACTTTCCTGTGAGATGTAGGGAATGACAATTTTTGGGGGTGGCTGGAAACATCCAATACTCTCAGGGCCGGCCATCAGTAAATGCAGGCTGGATGTCTTAGAAAGAGCTCAAGGTCCTTAATCACCATGGAGTTTTACCTTCTCCAGATCTGTTCTGATGGAATCAAGGCCAAGCTGGTTATCAAAGATAATCTACCTATCATAGAGTCAACTGATTACAGTTTTAATAAAGTCTATTAAAAATCCACACTACCACCTGGATTAGTGTTTGGTCAAATAACTACAAAGTATTGGCCAGCCAAGTACACCATAAGACAGACCATTACCCATGTAGAAAAACATTTAACATGAGTTCTAGGTTCTTATATTGTTAAAGGTGTAAAACCGATTATTTTTAAATTACGCTATTTTTATTTTATCGAGTTGTAGAAGTTTCATTTACGTTTTGGATGTTAACACTTCTTTAGATACATGGTATATTATCCAATTCTGTGAGTTGGAATTATTTCGTTGCTTTGCAGAATCCTTTTTTAAATCTAGTCCCACTTGTCCAATTCTGTTTTTTTTTTTATGTCCTTTGAATGTAAAAGCCAGAAAAAGATTGCTAATTTTTTGAGGGTTGGGAGTTTTACAATTGCAGGTATTTCATTTAAATATTGAATTCATTTAGAGTTAATTTTTTTTGTTTATTCTAACCTAAAATTCTTAATTCTTTGCATGTGAAAATCCAATTTTCATAACCTGCTCTTTGGAAGTCACTATAATTTAGCAATTGTATATCGATTGTTCTCATGCTGAAAATCAGCTGGCCATCAGTATGTGGGTTTATATCTCAGCCCTGTATGCATTTATGCCAATACCATTCTGATTTATTACTCTGTGTTTCTAATAAATGTTGAGGCCTGGAAGTGAAATACCTCAAGCTTTCTTCTTGCCTTGTTTCAGATATTAGACCAAAATATTCTAACCTTTTACTATTGAGTATAACAATAGCTGAGACTTTTCTTAATGGCTTTTATTATGTACAAGTTGTTTGCTTGTCTTCATACTTTGTTCAGAGTTTTTATAATGAAACTCTGAATTTTTTTTCAAATGTTTTTGTGTCTGATGAAATGTTACTGAGATATTTTTTCTTTAGTTTTTTAATGTGGTGTACCAAATTGATTGATTTGAGAATGTTGAATCATCTGTGCATCTCAGGAAGAAATTTGAGTTGGTCATGGTGTATGGTCTTCTATAAAATCTTTAGAATTTATTTTACTGTTGTTGGACGGTTAATTTATGTCTATTAATGATATTGATCTATGGTTTTATTTAATTGTGGTTCCTTTGTCTATTACTGGTAATACTGTAACGGTAGCCTCATAGAAAGAGTTTGGAGGGTTTGTTGCAGACTGCCTTTAAAATAGATTTTATCAGTGGAGAAACGGTGATAGTTTTTTTCTTCAGTTTTCTGTTGGGAATAGTTTTATGTATTTTAAAAGATATTTTGAATGACTTAACCTGCTTAAAGGGCTTACATAATATTCCTTTCTTCCATGCTTTTTAAAGAACTGCTTACCTTTCCTAATTATTTTTAGGGTGATTTTTTTCATAAAGATTGTGCAATACATTTTGAGGTGAAACTTAGTGGATTTTTTCTAATGAATTAGAAATAATAAATCACTTAATTGACTATTGTATTAAGGTTGATTTGTTGAATATTTGCTAAAGGCCAGTTCTTTAAGCTGTGCCATGTACTAAATCCCTAACCGACTATTTTATTCAGGTTGATTTGTTGAATATTTGCTGCAGACCAGTTATTTACGCTATGGCATGTAATACATCCCAAATGGCAGTAAGTCATTGTTTATTTAGCTTTTGTGCTTATATTTTTCAGAGGAAAAAACACTACTGTAAATTGTAAATAGCCAATACATAACAGTATTGTATGCAAATCTGTGACTGTTGGCAGTGTCATCTCTGAGAAACAGATAAAGTTTATTTACTATATATAAAAAAAAGAGTTTGGAAGGTGGACTCCTCACCAATTTTTGAAAGAGTTACGGAAGGGTTGCCATTACTTCTTTAAATGTTAAGACTCATTTTATGATTTAACATATAACCTATCACGGAGAATGTTCAATGGGTGCTTGAGAAGGATGTGTATTACATGGCTCTTGGTTGGAAGGTTCTGTAAATGTCTTTCAGGAAAATTTGTTCAACAGTGTTGTTCAAGTTCAGAGGCTTGTTAACAATTCTCTTTCTGAATTTGCTATACATTATTGTTAAGTGAGGTATTAAGGTTTTCCCATATTTTTATATTGTTTTCTATTTCTCTATATATGCATATATATATTAAAGTTTGCTTAATGCATTTATATTTGTATTTGTACACATGTGTAAAAAATAAAATAGTAATTGCCTAGTGAGTTTCATGGCACAGTCACATTATGAATAATCATATTTTCCCAAACGCTGCCATTCCACTAACTCCTCCAGATACATGGTATATTATCCAATTCTGTGAGCTGGAATTATTTCGTTGCTTTGCAGAATCTTTTTTTGTTAATCTAGTTCCACTTGTTCAATTCTGCTCCTCCAGGAGTCTCATATCTCCTCTGGGCACTGCCTTCTTCTCAGGCATCCCACACTGGAGCTTACTATAGACGAGGAGGCATGAAAACAGGACACTCCCTCTCCTGGTGAAAACAATCCCAGACCCAACCCTGCAGCTCTGGGAGAAGAGCCACAGCCCTGGGATTCCCAGGGGTTTCCATTTTGGTGATCAGGATTGAACACAGAGGACTCACTATGGGGTGTGAGTTAAGCTGATTTTTTCTTGTTTGTATTTAAAAAGGTGACTCATAGACAACTAGAGTGAGTGGATATGAGTCAGAGAAACAGTGGATATGTTCGGCAGTTTCTGACCAGGATGTCCATGCATTTTCAGGTGTTCAGTGTGAGGTGCAGCTGATTGAGTCCATAGAGGACCTGAGACAATCTGGGAAGTTCCTGAGACTCTCCTGTTTAGCCTCTGGATTCACCTTCAGTAGCTACTGAATGAGCTGGGTCAACAAGACTCCAGGGAAGGGGCTGGAGTGAGTAATAGATATAAAATATGATGGAAGTCAGATATAACATGCAGACTCTGTGAAGCGCAGATTCACCATCTCCAAAGACAATGCTAAGAACTCGCTGTATCTGCAAATGAACTGTCTGAGAACCTGAGGACATGGCCATGCATGGCTGTACATAAGGTTCCAAGTGAGGAAACATAGGTGTGAGTCCAGACACAAAATTTCCTGTGTCTGGAAATTTTGAAAGAAGAAAGAAGAAAGGAGTCTGGGCCGAAGGGGACACTCAGCACTCACAAAACGGGTGGAGGCCTAGGGCAGGTACAGAAAAGCAGTCAAGGGCTGCTGTCCTTCAGGATCTGTGCCTTCCTCTGCATATAGCAGGTGCCCTCGAATCCTCTGCACTTTTATGTTTCTGTGCCTACCATGAGGTCCCTGGATTACAAAACTTTAATTTGAAAGAGGAAACATTCTTATATGTCCCAAAAACCGATGTAAGTATTGGAGGTGTAAAAATGCACAGGCAGTTGGATGAGGCTGTAGACACTGCCAACCCACAATGCCAGTCTCACAACTAGCACTGGAGAATAGTGGGAGTTCAATGGAGCTTCCTACCTATCTTGTGGTCCAAGCTAACTCCAGCGAGGCCATTGGTGCCATCAGGGACCTCCCATATGTCCCAGCAGCAGCCATGCCTCAGTATCTCTATTGTGCACAGCCATAGTCTGGGAGGAGCTCCCAGGATGGGTGTCTTTGGCACACACAGGTGATGGGTGTTAGAGTGTAGTGCAGCAGCTGGCTGCCTGGTCTATTGGGCTCCCTGATGTTGGAGGGATTAGAGGTGGATTCTCAGGGCCAGCACACTGGATTTTTGTATGAAAACCATGATTTTACTTCATTTTCTCAGATGACATAGATAATTAATAACACAATCTGCAAACAATTGTAATTTTCAGCTTTAGCCCAAATTCATTGTTTCTGAATTCTGTGCAGGATCCAGACATGGTACTGCCCTTCTCATGAGAAATTGTTCGACCTAAACTGAAACCAGTTGTTTCTCGTATACTTTGGTTCTCCCCATGTGCAGAGATCTTGATTAGAGCAAGTTTGGTACTTTCCACGCACTCACCCTCACCTCCCCAGATAAAGAGCAGAAGTTCTCCTTAGACTGAGTCTGAGGGAGGAGCTGTTCCTGTACCACTCAGGGCCTGCGGAGACCCCCAGGTGCAGCTTCACTGAGTCAGGTGTTTCACTCCCTGTGATTGCTGCTCAGGTCTAATTGTGGCTCGGAATTAGGACAGTCTTCAGGTTATCACAGGTCAATCATATTCTAAAAATCATCGTTATCACACACCATGGTAACAATTCAAGGTTCATTTTTCTAACGGCAGTTTCTCTTTTTTATTTGGTTACAAGTTTGAGGAAAGGAACATCTGATAATACTTTTTAACCTAACCTCGAAATCTACTGAATTGTTCTAGGAGACTCACAAATTGGACAAAGTGAGCTCTTTATTCTCATAAAAATGTGTGGTTTTGGGAATTTCACTGTGTTGCCCAGAACCTGTTAACATCAACAACTATGTTTCTCAGCACACTTCTGGCTTGAGACGTCCTTGCAGACCCTCTCCCTCACTTGCACTGTCTCTGGATTCCCCATCATAACCAGTGCTTCCTGCTAAATTATATCTGCTTGCCCCTAGATGGACAGGAGTGGATCAGGTGCATGGGTTGTGAAGGGAGGACAAATTACAACCACTTCTCAAGAGTCCATATCCAGATCCAAGAAACAGTTCTTACAGCTGAGCTCTGTGCCCAGTGAACACACAACTACGCATTTTTAAGCAAAAGACACAATGAGGGGACTTCATTATGAGCCTAGACACAAATCTCCCTGCAGGGGTGCATAGGACCAGCAGGGGGCACTCGGGGCAGCATGGGGACTTAGGATAATTGTCGGGGATCAGGATGAGCAGGATCAAGGCTCAGCATTGGGACAGGTGCAAGAGGGCAGAAAAGGGGCTGTAGATGTGGGTTGTTTTCGTCATCATATTTCACCAACAGACACCCTCCACTACATCTCTTCTAATGTATCTGAGTGTTTATATGATTATAAAATGGCATTTATGTAAATACTAATATATACCCATATGAAGGTGCATTGAGTGGTCCTCGCCATCTCATGTGGCCCTTGTCCATCAAGCAATAAGTCCCTGTATTCACTTGAGTACCTCAAACATTACAGTCCAAACATGTAAGGTTTCCCTTTTTCTTGGTCTCTCCTCCTCCCTTCTCTCTCTGTCACACAAACACACATGAACTGACACACACACAGAGCTTCCCAACTTTAATTATCTGATGTATTGAAGCAAACTGATTAATATGCAGCTTTTCTGCTTTGCCTCCCATTTATGTTGTGGTGAAAATAAGAACCATGTGTTTCTCAGCTGGGCACTTCTCTAAGTTAAGTAGCAGCTTTGTTTATTACAACCAGAGAGCAAAAGTAATCCAGGTGTTAGTCAGCAGCTTAAGAGGTCAACAAGTTGTGGAAAATTCATTTACTGGAATAATACCCACTGTTACAATCAAGTACTGTTGGATACACTCAACACCATGCTTAAAATAACAAGTACCTGAATAAGTAAAATAAGTCAAACAAATAAAAGTGCATACATACAATTCCACTTCTATAATTTCTCTGAAGTAAAAATGAACTTAAATAAAAAGGTCTGTAGTTGACTGTGGATGTGGTACAAGAAGAGAAGGTGTGGAAAAGAGAAACTACAGAAGAGCAAAAGGAAATTTCTAGGGTAACTGATTTTTTTCTGTGTTAGTAAAAGTGAGGATTATGTCAATATTTGTAAAATTGTCCACTTTACGTAAAGATTATTATTTGCTAATTTCACCTCATTAAAACATTGCAAATTTTAAAATGTATAATTTGTTAGAAAAGGTGCTAGAGAGAGATTAATAAAATACGTAAAAGTCAGAGACTCCTGAATACACACATGAATGAACCCTGGGTCTCGCTCTACTTTTAGGGAGACACTAGAATACAAAAACATAATGACAGGATTACAGTTCATGAAAGGAGCTTCTCAAACCCCAGGAGGCATGTCCAACTGCGTCCTGGAGTTAACTCAGGGAGCAGGCATGTCCTTTGGAAGGAGCCATGACACCAAGCTCCCAGCATCCATTGTAGCTGACACCATGCAAATGCCAAGAGATCTCAACTAAAATTTTCTGTGGATGTTGAGTCTGATTATGCCACACACTCACACCAAGTGAGTATGGTAAGGATAGTTACCTGCATCCTTAAGGTGTCTGCTGAGAGCAGGGCAGGTCTCTCATTAAGGTCCAAAGTGGCTTGATAAAGCAGGGAAGGAGACTGGCTCAGGGTTGTTATCATGATTTTGTGGTGTGGGCATCCTACTGGCAGGAAGGGTTTTGTGGGGTTTCAAGGTCAATTTGGCATCAAATAAGGGAGCTCCTGTGATTTCTAACTAGATTTATCCTGTGTGCTTTAAAAGAAAGAGAGATGATGGAGGAAAGAGCCTTATGCTATTAGCAATCAGGCATAAAAATAGAACCTGATGACTTACTCTAAATAGCAAGTATAAAAATAATGAGGAAGAAAAGAGACAAGATTCCAATATGGGTGGACAACAACCAGGTCTGCAGAAAATGAGAAGACTGTTTATAAGCAAAGAATAATGAGTAGAAGGAGGATATGAGAAGGATTCTGGTCCAATATCTTGTGTGGAAGCTTTTCATGATTCGAGATCATCAGCTTATTCTGAAGGTCTTAGGTCACCTGTCTTCTTCAAAATATCAGAAGTTCCAGAGGATATGTGAGGATGCACAGTTTAACTTCCTCTATTTGAGTAGCTTTACAATTGTGTAAAATTCTTAATTCTTTTTTTTAAGATGAGTTCTCACTCTGTAGCACAGGTTGGACTGCAGTGGTGTGATCATAGCTCTCTGATTTTAAATTCCTGGCTCATAGAATCCTTCCACCTCAGCCTCCTGAGTAGCAAGTAGCTAGGTCTAGAGGGCCCTTCATCTACACCTGGCTGATTCCTTTTTATTCATTTTTTCATAGAAACAGGGTCTCTCTATGTTGCCCAACCTGCTTTTGAACACCTGGTCTCATGCAATTCTCCAGGCTTGGCCCATCAAAGTGTTGGGATTACAAGTGTAAGCCACCTCATCCAGTAGTCTGCACTGATTTTTTTGTTATAAAGTATGAATCCAATAATTGATTCCCTGGATTTTTTCTGCAGTGCTGTGGTTAAAAGTACCTTATAAGATTCCTTCCAATGTGGCTGAAGAGCAGTGTTTTTCCCTAATGTTTCTTCCAATAGAAATGATTTTCTGGTTGAAGTTCACAAGAAACTGTTAAAAAGATACAGTAAAAAGGCAGCCGTAAACTGTTGGTGATTCGAGTGTATATAATACAGGAATCACTTTCTATATTTTGTAACACATGCATGCAGCAGGAAAAAGGTGAGTGATGAGAGTCAAATCTCTGAATGTATGGGCCTCCCAGATACAATTCATAGGCTAATAACTGACGTGCCCCAAGGAGTGAAATGTGATGCCACACATGCTAGCAGGAGAACACGTGGCCAAGGAAGTTTTTTATAATTTCTATTTAAAAATGTCTATTTCCATTTTTTATTTTTTTTATATTTTCCTACTTTATTCAAAGGAAAGATCTAAAATTGACACCCTAACATCACAATTAAAAGAACTAAAAAAGCAAGTGCAAACACATTCAAAAGCTAGCAGAAGGCAAGAAATAACTAAGATCAGAGCAGAACTGAAGGAGATAGAGACACAAAAAATCCTTCAAAAAATCAATGAGTCCAGGAGCTGTTTTTTTGAAAAGATCAACAAACTTGATAGACCACTAGCAAGACTAACGAAGAAAAGAGAGAAGAATCAAATAGACATAATAAAAAATGATAAAGGGGATATCACCACCGATCCCACAGAAATACAAACTACCATCAGAGAATACTATAAACACCTCTATGCAAATAAACTACAAAATCTAGAAGAAATGGATAAATTCCTGGACACATACACCCTCCCAAGACTAAACCAGGAAGAATTTGAATCTCTGCATAGACCAATAATAGGCTTTGAAATTGAGGCAATAATTAGTAACTAACCAACCAAAAAAAGTCCAGGACAAGACGGATTCACAGCCGAATTCTACCAGAGGTACAAGGAGGAGCTGGTACCATTCCTTCTGAAACTATTCCAATCAATAGAAAAAGAGGGAATCCTCCCTAACTCATTTTATGAGGCCAGCATCATCGTGATACCGAAGCCTGGCAGAGACAAAACAAAAAAAGAGAATTTTAGACCAATATCCCTGATGAACATCAATGCAAAAATCCTCAATAAAATACTGGCAAACTGAATCCAGCAGCACATCAAAAAGCTTATCCACCATGATCAAGTGGGCTTCATCCCTGGAATGCAAGGCTGGTTCAACATACGCAAACCAATAAACGTAATCCAGCATATAAACAGAACCAACGACAAAAACCACATGATTATCTCAATAGATGTAGAAAAGGCCTTTGACAAAATTCAACAACACTTCATGCTAAAAACTCTCAATAAATTAGGTATTGATGGGATGTACCTAAAGATAATAAGAGCTATTTATGACAAACCCACAGCCAATATAATACTGAATGGGCAAAAACTGGAAGAATTCTCTTTGAAAACTGGCACAAGACAGGGATGCCCTCTCTCACCACTCCTATTCAACATAGCATTGGAAGTTCTGTCCAGGGCAATCAGGCAAGAGAAAGAAATAAAGGGTATTCAATTAGGAAAAGAGGAAGTCAAATTGTCCCTGTTTGCAGATGACATGATTGTATATATAGAAAACCCCATAGTCTCAGCCCAAAATCTCCTTAAGCTGATAAGCAACTTCAGCTGAATAACTTTGTATGACTAATAATATAAAATGTTCCACATATTTTTAGCCATGTTTTACTTATTTGTGAAATGTGTGTTTATTAATTTTTCATTTTAAGATGTCACTTTTATCTTTCTTGTTTCTGGGATTTTATTCTAGTAGATATAGCTGAAGGTATTTTAATAATTATTGTAATAATCTCACATTTTATATTTGAATTTTCATATCCATTTCATTAAGATTTTGATTTTGATATAAAATATTTTCTTACAATTGTCTTTTCTATTTTTATGAGATAAAATTAATGTATACAAAATTGCATACATCTTCAATGTACAGTTTCAGGTGTCTGACATATGTGCACACATTTGTCTCCAGCACCTAAGTTAGGATGAGGAGCAGGTCAATCTCCACAACAAGTGTCCTCTTTGGTGCTTCCAGTCAGCTCTCACATAAGGATTTTTATTTAATTTCAAGTTTTCATTCAGATACAGAGGGCATATGTGTGGACTTGTCACATGGGATTATTGAGTGATGCTGAGGTTTGGAATCCAGATTCCATCACCCCCTCCCTCCACTCTCCAGCAGTCCACAGTGTCTATCATTCGCACATTTATGTCCATGAATGCTCAATGCTGAGGTCCCACTTAGATTATGTGGTATTCGGTTTTCTACTCCTGCATTGATTTATTTAGGTTTCAGGCCCCCAGCTCCAATCATTTTGCTGGAAAGGACATGACTATATTATTTTTCATGGCTGTGTAGTGTTATATATTGTAGATGTAACACATTTTGTATATTCAGTCTACCATTGGTGTGTATCTGGGTTGTCTTTGCCACTATGGATAGCACAGCAATGAACATAGATGTGCATGTGTCTTTTTGGTAGAATTGTTTGCTTACTTTTTAGTGTACACCCAGTAGTGGGATTGCTGGGTAAAATGATATCTCTGTTTTAAGTTCTTTGAGAAATCTCCAGTCTGGTTCTCAAAGTGGTAAGACTAATTCATATTCCAATCAACAGTGTATAAGTGTTCTGTTTTCTCCACAGCCCCACCAGCATCCATCGTTTTTCGACTTTTTAGTGATAGCCATTCTGAGTGGTGTGTGGCTTCTCACCTACAGTCATCTCATCTTTGATAAGACTGACAAAAACAAGCAATGAGGAAGGGACTCCCTGTTCAATAAATGGTGCTGGGGCAACTGGCTATCCGTATGATGAAGATTGAAGCTGGACGTCTACTTTCAACACACATAAAATTAACTCAAAATTGACCACAATTTTAAATGTAAGACCACAAACCATAAAAATCTTTTAAGACAACCTAGGAAATACTCTTCTTGACACCAGCTTTGACAAAGAATTTTTGGCTAAGTATCCAAAAGCAATTTCAAGAAAAACAAAAATAGGCAAGTGGGACCTAATTAATTAAGGAGTTACTGCACAGCAAAACAAACACACAAGCAACCAAAACTTCAGCAGATAAGCAGACAACCTGCAAAATGTGAGAAGATATTCACAAACATTGCATCCAACATAGCACTAATATCCAGAATCTATAGGGAACTTAAACAAATCAGAGGCAAAACACAAATAACCCCTTTAAAAATGGGCTGATATGGTTTGGCTGTGTCCCCACCAAAATCTCAATTTGCATTTTATATCCCAGAATTCCTACATGTTGTAGGAAGGATCTAGGGGGAAGTAATTGAATCATGGGGGCCAGTCTTTCTCATGCAATTCTCGTGATAGTGAATAACTCTCATGAGATCTGATGGGTTTATCAGATGTTCCCGCTTTTGCTTCTTCCTCATTTCCTCTTGCCACCACCATGTAAAGAGTGCCTTTCACCTCCCACCATGATTCTGAGGTCCTCCCAGCCATGCAGAACTGTAATTCCAATGAAACCTGTTTTTGTTCCCAGATTTCAGTATGTCCTTACTAGCAGTTTGAAAACAGACTGATACCTGGGAAAATAACACAAACAGACACTTCTCAAAAGAATATATACAAGTGGCCAGCAAATGTATTTTAAAAATATTTAGCATCACTAATCATCAGAGGAATGCAAATAGAAAAATGTTCTGGTTTCTGTCACTATAGGTCCATTTTTTCCTGTTTTGAGCATCACATAAATGGAATCAATATTATAGTTCATTTTTTGTAAGGGGCTACTTTTGGTATTTGTGAGGTTCATTCATGTATTTGCATCTATCTAGGTTTTGTCATCATATATATACATATGTATGTACTCATGCACATCTAGCTATTTCATATCTCAATCAGTCCATTACGTTAATAAACGACAGTTTATTAAGTAAGGAAATCAGTTCATTAAGTGAATAAGTGTCAGTACATATATCTATTTTCCTGTTGATGGAATTTAAATTTGTTTCCAAAATAAATATTGTAAACAAACCTGTTATAAATATCGTCGTACAAGTTCTTTTGCTTATATTCTCCCATTTTTATTGATAAAATATGTAGAAATATAAGTATGCATTATAACTTTTCAGCTTTAAGGAGCTATAACTGACAAACAAAATTGTATGTATTTAAGGTACACCACTTAAGGTATTGATATACTTGGGCACATGTTCATCGTGATCAAGGTAATTGGCATGCCTATCATCTCAGAGAATATCATTTTATGCCTTTAATTTATTGTGAGTCTGTGATAAAAACACCTAAGATCTACTCTTCTGGAAACAGATAAGTTTATAATATAATATTCATTAGTATAGTTGCATTGCTGTATGTTTCATCTCCAGAACTCCTTCAACCTGTGTATCAGTCCATTCTCAAACTACTTTAGAGAACTACCTGAGACTGGGAAATACATGAAGAGAAGTGAATTAGATGACTCACAGTTCTGCAGGCTTAGCAGGAAGCCTTATAGGGAGGCATCAGGAAAATTACGATAATTGTGGAAAGTGAAGGGGAAGCAAGGACCGTCTTCACATGCTGGCAGGGGAAAGAGAGAAAGAGCAAGGGGAGATGCGCCGCACTTTTAAACCTCGAGATCTTGTGAGAACTCTAACACAAGAAGAGCAAAGGGGAAAGCCGCCTCCATGATTCAGTCACTCTTCATCAGACCCCTCCTACAACACTTGAGGATGAAAATTTGACATGAGATTTGGATGGAAACGCTGAGCCAAACAGTATCATTATACCCGGCCACTCACAAATCTCATATCCCTCTCACATTGCAAAATATAATTATCCCTTCTCAACAGTCTCCCAGTTTTCACTCAATTCAGCATTAACACAAACTTCTACAGTCCAAAGTCTCCTCTGAGACAAGGTAAGTTTCTTGGATGTATAACCCTGTAAAATAAAAAACAAGTTAGTTACTTCCAAGATACTATGAGATGAATGCACTGGGTAAATGTTCCCATTCTAAATGGGAGAAATTGGCCACTACAAATGGGCTACAGGCCCCATGCAAGTCCAAACACTAGCAGGGCAGTCATTAAATCTTAAAGCTCCAAAAAAATTTCCTTTTACTCCATGTCTCACATCCAGGACACGCTGATGTAAGAGGTGATCTCCCAAGGCCTTGGGAAGCTCCACCCTTGTGGCTCTGCATGTTAGACTCCCCATAGCTGCTTTCATAGGCTGGCATTGAGTTGCTATGTCTTTTCCAGGCACACCATACAAGCTGCTGGTGGTTCTACCATTCTGGGGTCTGAAGGACAGTGGTCCTCTTCTCACAGATCCACTAGACAGTGCCCAAGTGGGGACTCTGTGTGGGGGATCCAACACCATATTTTCCTTCTACACTGGCCTAGTAGAGGTACTCCATTAGAGCTCAGCCCCTGCATGAGACTTCTGCCTGGATATCCAGGCATTATCATACATCATCTGAAATCTAGGAGGAGGTTCCCAAACCTCAACTCTTGCCTCATGTGCACCAGCAGGCTCAACACCACGTGGAAGCAACCAAAGCTTAGGGCTTGCACCCTCTGGAGCAATGGCCTGAGCTGGACCTTGACCCCTTTTAGCCATGGCTGGCACAGGACAGACAGGGATGCAAGGCGCCATGTCCCAAGGCTGCACAGAGCAGTGGCATCCTGGGCTTGGACAATGAAACCATTTTTCTCCCCTGGGCTTCTGGACCTGTGATGGGAGGGGCTGCCATAAAGATCTCTGAAATGCCCTGGGGACATTTTTTCCCACTGGGGTCCTTGTTACTTATGCAAATTTCTGCAGCCAGCTTGAATTTCTCCCCAGAAAATGAGTTTTTCTTGTCTACCACTTGGACAGGCTGCAATATTTTATCAAACTTTTATGCTCTGCTTCCCTTTTAAACATAAGTTCCAATTTCAGACCATCTCTTTATGAATGCACATGGCTTCTGTTTTCAGAAACAGCCAGGTCAACTCTTCAATGCTTTGGTGCTTAGAAATTTCTTCTGCCAGATATACCTTAAATTATGTCTCTGTAGCTCAACATTTCACCGATCTCTAGGGCAGGGGGAAAATGCCACTAGTCTTTTTGCTAAATCATAGCAAGTGTGACCGTCACTCCAGTTCACAATAAGTTCTTCACCTTCATCTGACACCACCTCAGACTGGACTTCATTGCCCATATCACTATCAGCATTTTGATAAAACCCATTCAACGAGCCTCTAGGCAGTTTCAAACTTTTCCACATCTTCCTGTCTTCTTGTGAGCACTCCAAGCTTTTCCAACCTCTGCCCATTACCCAGTTACAAAGTCACTTCCACATTTTCAAGTATCTTAATAGCAGTATCCCACTCCTGGTGCAAGTTTTCTGTATTAGTCCATTTTCACATTGCTATAAAGACTACCTCAGACTGGGTAATTTATGAAGAGAAGAGTTTTAGTTAACTCTCAGTTCTGCAGGCTAAATGGGAAGCATTATTGGGAGGCATCAGGACGAACAATGATGGTGGAAGGTGAACGGGAAGCAAGAACCTTCTTCACATGGTGGCAGGAGAGAGAGAGCAAGTGAGCGGGGAGGTGCCACACTTTTAAACCATCGGATCTCTTGAGAACTTTATCACGAGAACAGCGAAGAGGAAGACAATCCCATGACCTGATCACTTTATCTTAGGCCCTTCCTTCAACATGCAGGGTCTACAATCTGGCATGAGATTTGAGTCGGAACACGGAGCCAAACCACATTAACCTTCATAACGGGAAGTTTTTACCCTTTGACCAACAATACCCAATTTTTTCCTCCTCCCAGCCCCTGCGACCTACTATTCTACTCTGCTTCCAAGAGCTTGAATATAAAATATTCAATATATAATTCTATATATAAATGAGATCATGCAGCTTTTGTCTTTCTGTGTCTGGCTTATTCCACTTAGCATAATGTTCTCTATTTGTTGCAAATATAAGAATTTCTTTGTTTTTAAAGGCTGAATAATACTCAGTTTTATGTAGGTATAAGCCACATTTTATCTGTTCATTCGTAGATGGACATTGACTCGTTTTCCTTATCTAGACTATTATGAATAATCTCACAATGGACATAGATTTGTCACACTCAGTTTATTTTCTCTAGATGTATGCTCAGAAGTGGGGATGCTCTATGTCCAGTTCACTGAGTAATCTTCATGTTGTTTTTCATACTGGCTGTAATAATTCACATTTTGTTCCAAACCATACATGGATACCTTTGTACCACATATTCAGGTCTTTGTGTAACTCTTGAATCCATTTTTAGCTGATTTCTGTGTATTGTGTGAGGTGAGTTCTATCTATTTCTTCTGCATATGGATACCCGTTTTTCACACCACTCGTTGAAGAGACTGTCCTTTCTCTACTGTGTGTCTTGGGAACTTGACAAAGATCAGTTTATTGGGAAGAAATGGGTTGGTTGCCAGGTTGTGTTTAATGTTTCATTGGATTATATGTCTGTTTAAATGCCAGCATTATAACATTTTGATTTATATAGATTCGATTTTGAAATTATAGATTATGATATATTCAGCTTTGTTATTTATGCCCAAAATTAATTTGGCTATTTGAAGTCTTTTATATTTTTATATAAATTGGAGCTTTTTAAAAACATTTTGTAAAATCATGCCATGGAGATTATTTATTTATTTTATTGGCATATAGTAGATATACCTATTTTATGGGAACATGTAATATATTGATACATTTATAAATGTGTAAAGATTAGTGTAAGATTTACATATCTGTCACATTAAAAATGTACCCTTTCCTTGTGCTGAGCACATTTGAATGACTCCTTTCACTATTTTAATGTTGTGCATTAGATTATTATTAACTATAGTGACCTTACTGATCTATCAAACATTTAGGTCTTATTTCTCCTCTATAAATGTATATTTGTATACAGTAATCAACCTCTCCTTATCTCCTTCTCTCTTCTATCCATCCAGGATTCTGGTAAGCAACAGTCTATTCTATCTTCAGGCGATCCAGTATTTTAGTTTTGACGTAAAATAAGAAGATGCAATATTTGTCTCTCTTTTCTTGGCTTATTTATCTTAACATAATGACTTCCAGTTCCATTCATATTATAGCAAATGACAGAATATTGGGTTTCATGGCTGAATAATATCCTATCGCATACATAGATTACATTTACTCTATCCATTTGTCCACCTACAGACACTGAGGTGCTTTCACATCTGGGCTATTGTGAAAGAGCTGCAAAGAACATGGGAGTGCACATGCCTTCATGAGGTGGTGGTGGTTTTATCTTCTTTAGAACATACCCAGAAGAGGATTTGCCAAGTCATAAGGTATTTCTGTTTTTAATTTATTTTGGAATCTTCATACTACTTTGCACATAGTGGAAACACAAATGGAGTAAACATTAAAAAAGCAGTTTCGGTTTTGATGTATAATCCAGAAACAAATAATGTTTGACCATGATTCTCATTGGGAGTCTCTAATGGATCTGGTGGAAATGCAGGAAGTTTTCTAACCTTGTTCAGGAAATTATGAGTTTGCACCTTTTTCTTTCTGAGGCTTGAAATTGGCATGATTCATGATGCATACTGTTGGGAGGTTTCAGAATGATATGGCAAAAAACATAATGAAAAGGCAAGACAGAGAGAGAGGGAGAGAGAGAGAGTCAGGCCTAGAAAGAGAAAAAATAATTTTCTCAACAGGAGAAAGTGCTGGATATCTGTATCAGTGTTGGGTTTTGCTCATAGACACATCTGTACCGAGTGAGGAACCATGAAGTCAAGGGAGGGGTCTAGAACTTGTTCAAGTGAAGCATCAGCATATTTCTCACAGGCACCAATTTCCACCACATCACAAGGGTGATGCATTTTTGAATGCCATTAAATATGAGTTCACAGTCAGTAATCATGTTTCCATGAAATTCAGTTAAAATACCAAGGGTGTGTCCAGATCACTCATGCACAAATACACAAAATTTGCTTTTTCACGTGTGGCTATCTAGAGACAAAGTGCACTGAGGAGACTTCAGCAGGTTACAGAGATTTGCTTAAGTTTGGAAAACCATAGGAGAGTGCCTTTAAGTGAAGGTTGGTATATAAATTAAATAGGTCAAAATCCCCTCTATGGAGTAGCGTTCCAATTGTGTGGAATTTTTAACTCCTTATTCACGTTATAAAACATAATCCCTGGGACTGACTCCGTGGAGTTTTACTGCTGTGTTGACAAAAATATCTAACAAGCTTCCTTCCAGTGTTTCAAGGGAAGTTTTTCTCTAAATTTTTTCCAATGTATAAATTTTCCTGGCTAAAGATAGTAAAAGGCTGTTAAAAACACAACTGGAATGGCAGCTTTAATCTTTTGCTGATAGGAGTGAGCATAATACATGAATCTCTTTGAGTGCTCTGCTTCATCCAAATACAATAGGTCAAAGGCTAGTACTGGAGGTAAAATTTCCAAGTGTGTATTTTTCCAGCTACCAAGTCATAGGAAAATAACAGATACATCCTTGAGACAGAGGACCATAATGCCACAATGCTGGTAGGAGTACATGTAGACAAGGGAGTTCAAGGGTTTCTTAAAACTGATAATTTTAATGTAAGAATACCATTCTTTTAAACTTATGTGGAAGACTGTGGGAGGTTATAACAATGCCATATTTTAGTATCAGCCCTGCCTCACAGAATCATTTTATAATAGTTCCTTTCATGAGTGTGCTTCACTCGGTTCATGCAAAAACCTGGCAGGTCACAGGCTAAAAACAGAAAATATAGAAGCTTTTAATCAACTGAAAGAGCTGTAGCCTTTGTCAAGGAATTATTGGAAGACACAGAGAACACAGATAGATGATAAATAAAATACATTCATATCCCATTAAGTGTGGAAATTGAGGAAAGTTTACATAAATGTGTCCAAGTGGCAAACTGTTTATTTAATCTGGTAACCAATTTTTCTATAAATTGTAGAGTTGAAATGCAACAAATACATATTTGAAATGATCTGGCACAAATTAAGCAAATATGGTAACTATGTATTTTCACTCATTTTTATTTAAGATCAGCGGCTCAGCATTGATATTTTTGATAATATCTGTGACTCAGCAGCTTTACCTTTTGAGGATATGATCTGGTATGGCAGTTTTCTTAGCTTCAATGTTACCTCTTTTTGCATTGACTTCTACCTTTATATCTGCCAGGAATCTGGGGAAAAGGAGTGCCTGTAAACGTTCCCTAACTTGCCCATTTTGGTGGGTTTTCCAGAATGTGTGAGATGCTTTTTTTTTTTTTTCAAAGCATCCCGAACCCATGCACTGCCCTGAAACATGTTTATTTCCTAGTTTAACAAATTGGCACTTCTAATAAATGCAATCTCTTCTGCCATCTGTGCTGATTTTACATCAGATAGAGGACTGTGTTCTAAAGGAAATCTTATATTAGTAAGAGCAATTTTGTCATTAACCTAGAGTTTTATTATTGAGGTGTGATTCATAACATATAATATTAGGTAGAGGTTCTCAGTGGCAGTGTCTAAATCTCTTGGGTGTACAGTGTCTTCCCCGTTAACATGAAGCATTTACGAGCACAGTCATAGTTTCCAGCCATGCTTCTCCCTGTCTCACAATCACCACAAACTAACTATGACCACAACTGGAACTTGGTGAGTTATTCTTTAATAAGTTTTAAGTTTGTCTTTAATCTTTAAGCCTCTAGATTATTATGTGAGACATAATCTTTATGCCTCTAGATTATTGTGTAAAGCTATTTCAGAAGAAAGTTAAAAAGAACATTTTAACTGACTAAACAACACAGGAAATCATTAATAAAATGCAAAGTGTAGATGTGAGAGGCTCCAGGCCTGGATAATGCAAGAGTTCATGTATGCAGGCAGTTTCTTTCCCCAATTATACAATGATACACCCAGCATGTCAGCTTCATGCCCCATTTGACTCCTATTATGCAAGCGCATGGAAATGACATGCTCAAGGGTCACACACAGATATGAAAACAGGTGGGAGCAGGAGAGGAGACGACTCTGCACTTCTCCTCTGAAGGACCAGGAAAGCCTGGACAGACCATCTCCCCGGCCTCCATGACTGCGCGACGTGCCCACATGGACACTCATCTCTGACAAGATAAGAGGACTCCATTGATGAGGCTGAACATTTTATGATTTAAATTACTAGAGACTTACATTGAGGTTTCAATAACTAATTTTTATAACCCAAATTTACTTACCCCCATGTTGTTACCTCTTTCTTCAGTGAAAAATTGCTTTTGCTGTAATTGAGTTTTAGGAAGATTCCCAATGTTCACAACTGAGCTTCCAAGAGAGTGTCGAGAACAAAAACTGAATGAGGGCAGAGAAACCCATCTTTACTGTGTTCACCACTAAACTCAAGTGGACTCGGCACTGCCTTTGATCACTGTTGCTTCTCCGCAGAGTTCAGGTTTCTATTTCTCACAATTCTAACACAGACTCTCCCTCTCCTCAAAGGTTTGGCCTCCACTGGCTGTAAGGTCACACTGTTCTGAATTTCTTGTCTGAACCATTTTATGAGGGTGGTGATGAGCCATTTAATGGAAATTTTATATCATCTCAGCATGAATCCTATGGGCGGTCACGAATTATTATTCTGATTATGGTAATTGATTTTTCTCAGCATATTCATTACTAGTGATATTCAAAAACCCTTTTTATTTAAATCTTTGATGCTTCATTTTTTGTTGCTATGACACTTTTTCTTCTACTGAGTCTTCCCACTAGCATTATAACATGACCTAATATCCAGGCTCAGTTGTTATATAACAACCACATATGTCAAAAGCTATGCATTCTTTTCACAGCAGACATAATTTTCTCTTTTCTGGAGATGAACACACACTGCTGAGCTACCCCCACTCACAAGAACATATGGAAAATCATGACATTTTTATTTACTTGACTAATAAATTATGTCATTCTCTCTTCAAATTCTTTATCCCCCAGAATGCCATGACAAACTCTTCTGCATCTGTTCAAACCATAAACTCAGAAACCACATGGTGAGTAAAAGCTCACTTGGTTCTGGATATTGGGTCAAGCTCTTCCCCTCCAATGTCCCACAGCATTGGGACCTCAGCCCACCTGTCCAGGTTCTATCAAGAGAGTTTAGCTCCTTCACAGTGAAGGAAACAATTGAGTTAAGAGGGAACCTGCAGAAGATAGACAATATTGAAAACCATTCATATGACAAGGGATTACTATCAAGCATATAAAATAAACTCAACCCAACTGCAAATAATAATGTGGCTAATAATGGAGGAATAACATTAATACATATTTCTCAAAAGAAGAAAAGAAAAAGGGCAGATAGATGATAGATAGATAAATAGATATATTGGTATGTATACATACATATATCGCTAGAAAACACTAATATTCAGGAAAATGCACATTCACAATGAGATGTCTTTTCATCCTTCATCTTTGCTTGAGAGTCAGAAAATCTAAATAAATAAATAAATAAATAAAACAGGAGCTGGCCAGGATTCATAGAAAGGGAAACTCTTATAGACCATTGGTGGAAATGGAAATTAGTGAAGCCATCATGGGAAAAAATAGAACTACCATATAATTCACAATCCAACTGCTGAGTATGTATCTATTTAAATCATTAAAGTAAAAAACTAATATTGAAGAGATACATGTACACCCATGTTTATTGCAGCACTATCCACCATAGCTAACATATGAAATCAACATATGTGTCCATCAACAGATGAATGGATAAATAAAATGTGTTATATTTACACAATGGAATATTGTTCAGTCTTAAAAATGAAATTCTGCTGTTAGAAGCAACATGGATGGAACTGGACACCATCATGTTGAGTGAAACAAGACAGACACAGAAAAATAAATACAGCATTTTCTCAGTGTTATGTGGAAATTTTAAAAAGTTGATCTTCTAGAAGTAAATAATAGAGTAGTGGTTATGAGACGCCGGGAATGGGAGGAGACTGAGAGACAATAAGAGGTTTGTTAACAAACGTATAATTTACAGGCAGATAGGAGGGATGTGCTCCAGTGATCTACAGTGCAGTAGGGTGACTGCTGTTAACAATATAGTGCACATTTTATGTTTACAAGTAGCCAGAAGACAGAAATTTGTATGTTACCAACAAAAAGAAATGTTAGTGTCTAAGCTGATGAATTTGTTCATTGTTCTGATTTAATCATACCACATGGCACACATGCATAGAAATATCACACTGTACCCCATACAGTTATTATGTGCTAACTTTAAAAAATCCTTTAATTAAAACAGATTTTATTTGCATACATTACAAATGCTTCAACACAGAGCCAGGAATAAATACCATTTTTCTTTGAAATGTGAATTTCCTAACAACGTAGTTACATTCATTTGAACCAAACCGTGTATTTGATCATGGTAAGAATAGACAGGCTTATGCATAGAATGATATATTTTAATTTTAGACTTCTACTTAATACCATAAATTCAAATAATTTTAAAACAACTAAGTAAAAACTATAAAGTTGAGGAAATGTGTACGTGGTGTGTGATGTGTGACTTTTTCCTTGCGCACCACTCTGTCCATGGTGGATGTGTGGTGTGGGTGTCTGTGTCTATTTCTGTTTACTCTGCTTGAGGTTCTCTGTGATTCTAGGATCTGTAGTTCAGTGTCTTTCACAAAACTGGGAACGTTCTTAGCCATTATTTCTTTCAAATACTGTCTCTGTATCTACAATTTCTCCTTTCAGATTTAAAATGTACATATACAATACTTTTTAATATTAATGTTTACTTTCTTCACTCTCTTTTCCTTGCACTTTACTCTGTAAAATTTCTAGTGGTATTTTAAGTGAGTGGTTTCATTTAAAAGGTGAGCCAGCTCTACTGAAGGGTGTGCCCAAAGCTTACTCAATGTTTATACTGCATTGCTTTTGATTTCTTATGCATTTCCATTTGATTTTTTCTTAGTATTTTCAACTCTCAGTTCCCTATCTAGTCCTTCATTATGTATACAGTTTCCTTAATAGATTTTTACATATGAATTATAGTTACTTTATATATCTTGTTTAATTAGATAGTTCTAAGATCCATATCATATAGAAGTCTCATTCTGATCATTTGTTTATTATGACTTTGGTATTTCTCATTAATATATGTAATCTTTGTTGATAGCCAGATATTTTAGGTTGGACAGTTGATATTGGCTTATTACTTCATTTTATGCATTTTCTGCCTGTATTTGACCATACTTTATTTTTGCCAGGCCTTTAATGTGGAAATGTTTGAATCTTCTCAGAGCTACATTTGACGTTTACTTTTGCAGTAGACGTCATAGTTGAAGTCTGTTCTTCTGTGTCCACCAGAGACTTCAGATCCTCCAGTGATACCTTGTTTTTCTTTCCTGCTTGGCTTTGTCTCTTCACCCTGTTCCTTCCTCCAGAGAATCTCTTTCAGCTCCTTCAGGTGGGTTAAGATATTATATTGAACTGACAATTGTGAAATTGGTGGAAGGCAATAGAATAAAGGGAGATTTTCTGACCTTTCATGGGTCTATATTTCTACGAAGGCATTGTGACCCTGAGTCTGGGTGTGACATTGCCGGTGTTTCTGAACTTCTGCCAGATGAGATGTTGGTCTGTGTGTTCTTGCTGTTTTCCCTGCTGTGGAGTCCTCTTGTTTTCCCCAGTTGTTCCCTCCCACAGCTCCAATGTTCTCTTTTGGTGTTATCAGCTTCCAGAGTTGATGACCTGACCTAGAGATTAAGGCTCTGATTAAATAAGAAGGAGGGGAGATACTTCTCAATGGAACTTAGGTGAAGACCTCTTTTTCCATCTCAGTTCCTAAGGGATGGCCCCAGTGCCCCTAAGATCCTGGCTTTGGTGGCTTGCTCCTGCAGAGTAATTTCTTAGTTCTGCAATGGGGATTAAGGAGGTGGGTCTGAATGCATTTCAGAGTGTGGGCTCTTTTTCTCTCCCAGACAGACACATTGGGACAAAAGATTTTTGTGACTGTCCCCATTTTTGGGAAAAAGGTTTCAAGGTATAGGAAAGCTCTTCAGTATGTGGTCCCTGAGAAATTCACGCTACAACACATTTACCACACTTGACTTCACCAATTCAGTATCTATGTATTTTTTTCTCTTATAATAGCCTACATTTTTATATGCCAGACTCTGCCTCAGTTCAACTCGTACCCATGCCTTTTTACTCTCTGCAAGAACTTGTCTCTCCCTAAATTTCGGATTTGATGATTATCTTAAAACCTCCAGTATTTAAAGTATATTTTAAAATTGGCAAAATTCCATCTCCTGTGTTTATCTGTTATGTTGATGCTGTAAAACAGTAAGTAAAATATACTCCTCATCTATGTACATTTTGAAGCTGAGTTGCAGGTTTTTTGGTAAGACCCAGAGTCACAGAGAATTCAAATATTGTTAAGCTGCTTAATAGAAAAACAAATTATGGTAAATGTGTTCACTGGAATACTACCCATGATTTATAATAAATAAATGCCTGACACACAGAACAGCAGCAAAACCACACATGCTCTTATTACAGAAAGTGGCTTCTGAAAACCACACCGGGCATGTACAGCTTTGTCCTGGAGTTGGTTTAGGGGGATGTCAGAGCCAGTGACGAGAAGCACAGGGCCAGATGGCAGCGTTCACTCATCCCAGACATGAGCTCCTGGGTGCATACAGAGCCCCCCCATGTGTGGGTTTACTTCCACTTCTGTAAAAGGAGAAAATACTGACTCCTACAGAGCATAATTTACACATTTTTTAAAAAATGTAATAGGGTGATCAGGGCAAAGTGTTTATCACAGCACAATTTCATAAGACAGCATATTTTCCAAATACCATCATTGTCAGCAAACTTCTGCAGAGCACCGTCTTCTTATATGGGTACAGCCTATTCCTCCAGCATCCCACTAGAGCTTCTTATATAGTAGGAGACATGCAAATAGGGCCCTCCCTCTACTGATGAAAACCAACCCAACCCTGACCCTGCAGGTCTCAGAGAGGAGCCTTAGCCCTGGACTCCAAGGCCTTTCCACTTGGTGATCAGCACTGAGCACAGAGGACTCACCATGGAGTTGGGGCTGAGCTGGGTTTTCCTTGTTGCTATTTTAGAAGGTGATTCATGGAAAACTAGGAAGATTGAGTGTGTGTGGATATGAGTGTGAGAAACAGTGGATTTGTGTGGCAGTTTCTGACCTTGGTGTCTCTTTGTTTGCAGGTGTCCAGTGTGAGGTGCAGCTGGTGGAGTCTGGGGGAGGCTTGGTCCAGCCTGGGGGGTCCCTGAGACTCTCCTGTGCAGCCTCTGGATTCACCTTTAGTAGCTATTGGATGAGCTGGGTCCGCCAGGCTCCAGGGAAGGGGCTGGAGTGGGTGGCCAACATAAAGCAAGATGGAAGTGAGAAATACTATGTGGACTCTGTGAAGGGCCGATTCACCATCTCCAGAGACAACGCCAAGAACTCACTGTATCTGCAAATGAACAGCCTGAGAGCCGAGGACACGGCCGTGTATTACTGTGCGAGAGACACAGTGAGGGGAAGTCAGTGTGAGCCCAGACACAAACCTCCCTGCAGGGGTCCCTTGGGACCACCAGGGGGCGACAGGGCATTGAGCACGGGGCTGTCTCCAGGGCAGGTGCAGGTGCTGCTGAGGGCTGGCTTCCTGTCGCGGTCTGGGGCTGCCTCGTTGTCAAATTTCCCCAGGAACTTCTCCAGATTTACAATTCTGTACTGACATTTCATGTCTCTAAATGCAATACTTTTTTTGTCCTTTTTGTTTCTTTGTTTTTTTGCAACAGGAGTACATATCCTCAGCTCCACAGAAGCCAGGGTGTCACTTTGGGGGCAGAAATAATCCTTTCGTGGTCAACAGGATGAGAGTCCTGAGGAATCCCAGGGAAACCTGGAGAGTGTTTTCCAATTAGACTCAGGGCAGAGACCTCCATGGGAATTTCTGATTAGAACGGGCTTTGAGCTCTGATGGGAGCCAAGAGACAGGCTCACCCAGGGTCGGGGTCCTTAAAGCCTGATGGTTTTCACAGCTATCCCCCCTCGTCTTGTAAACTCAGACTGATTCAGTTGACCCTTTTTCTGCTAATCCATTTTGCTTCTCTGTAGGTTTGATTCTCACAGTTCGCTTTCTTCTTCTCTTCCCTGAGAACAAACGATGTGTTTTCTGTTTTCAGGGAAAATCCCAGGGCTCAGGTCTGCAGGACCTGGGTAGGCTGAGGAGACTTTCTCACTCACCATTGTCTGGACACTCCTGTTGTCTTCTGTGCATGGAGGCATTTGGGAAATGAAGTGGACATTAGTCATTAAGGGAATAATACTAGTTTTCTCCAATTGGATATTGATGTAGAGCTGAACTTGTGCTTCTCACACTGTCACAGAGTTTGGACCCTCACCTATAACTTTGAGGAGAGTTGATGATGGATAGTCCATTGTGGGTGAGCTCTGGGTAACAGTAATTGTAGGGTCTGGCTAGGCAGCCTAAGGTCAATACTTCTGGACCTCAGGAAAGACAGGCTGGAATTCCTGGGAAGACCTGCATCTGCCATCCACCGTGGAGTCCCATCATCTTCTGTTATGCTGTGATTGAATCAGCCCCACCTAGTTTATCTAGAACACTCTTCATGACTTAGGAAAACATAATGGCAAGCTCTCCTAACACCTGTATCATGCCATGGGAGCAACACCTAAGCTAGTGTGTGATTGAGTAGATGAGACTGTGGTCTAGTCAAGACGACAGGTAAAATTGATTGTTGTCATTATGATATTTTATATTTGGCAATATAATCATGCTCATATTATAAATACTTTTGCTACATTTTTTGAGTGTGTCAGAGGCTTTGGAACTGGAACAACTCCATCTTGAATAGGGGCTAGGAAAAATAAGACCGAGACCTGCTGGGCTGGATTCCTAGTAAGTTGATGCAGTAAGTTAGTCACAGGATGAGATAGGAGGTCTGCACAAGATCCAGGTCATAAAGGCCTTGCAGATAAATCTTACAGTAAAGAAGCTGGGCAAAGCCCTCCAAAACCGAGACAGTGGCTAAAATGACCTCAGTTTGTCCTCACTGTTCATTATACTCTAATTATAATGCATTAACATGCTAAAAAACACTCCCTCCAGCCCCAAGACAGTTTACAGTTGTCAAGGCAACATCATGAAGTTTCCTTGTGTGGTTTAAAAAGGAGGGGAGGAACACTCAACTTCAGGAATTGCCTGGAGGACTCATGAATAATCCATCCATTGTTTAACATATAATCAAGAAATAACCATAAAATGGACAACCAGCAGCCCATACTGCTGCTCCACCTCTGGTGTAGCCAGTCTCATTATTTTACTTGCATAAGAAACTTGTTTTCATTTTAATCTGTGGATTTTCCCCAAATTGGGACCCCTTTCTCCTAATATTTGTGCTATTATTCGTGTTCTGAGCAGAAAACCCCAAGATGGAATGAAGTTTCCCTACATTTTTATAAGAAGTACATTCACCCCTTTGAGCGAAAATGCACAGGGAGTGGAATGAGGCTGGGAAGCTAATGGCGTATGATGGAAGCTTGTCCCTGACTGGAGGAGAGAGGGAGGGAGGATTGGGAGGAAGGTTCCTATATTTTTGTGCTATGCAAGGAAGCTGCAAAAGATAACTGAGTCTCGTGTAAGTCAGTGCTACCTCTCAGGGGATCCCTGTGACTCCAAGAAAGGGCTCTTCTTAGGAATCACTGTGGAGTCAGTCCTTTCATTAGAGTAGACCACAGGACATGGGCCTCAGCACACGCCATGCCACAGATGTCAGAAAGCAGCTGCTGGGAACCTGACCCACCTGCATTTTGCTGCCTGTATGTGGAGGGAGGGAGGTGCATTCTCAGGGTCAGCACACTGTTTGTGAATTTTTATAGAGAACCCCTGCTTTTGCTGTATTTTTATTGGAAAATATATGAACAAGTGTGCACCTGCAAACAACTGTAATTTTCACATTTCCTTCAGTTGCATTATTTCTTAATCCTGAATGACGTCCTGACACAGAGTTGAGTTTTTCACAGGCATTGTTCGAAGGATCGAGATGATGCATTTTCCACATTCACTGGTTTTTCTCCATGTGCAGAGACCTTGAGTAGAGCACATCTGGCCCTTACCCACACTATCTCTTGTGTCCCCTGGGAAAGAGCAGAGATTTGCCTGACTGCAGAATCTGGGGTAGGAGTCTGCACACCTCTGAGCCTGCAGAGAAGCTCAGCGAAGTTTTGTGGAGTCAGAGAGCTTTCCCATGTGGGGAACCTCTAGCTTCCTCACTCTCGGAGATTACTGGTCAGCTGTAATTGAGTGGTTAAGAATTAGAGCACCTGGGAGCCTGTCTCATCACAGCTCCATTATGTAACTTACCACCATTAGACTGCGGGTAATAACTCAATCTTGATTTTTCTGACCCGATTTTCTCATCTTATTCATTACTAATTTTGTTTATGGAAAATGTTATGTTTAGTTTATGATTAAAACCTCAGAACTTTCTGAACTTATCAGGAATAATACAAAATGTGTCCAGTTTGGGGGAAATGTAAATGAATGTCCATGCAGTTTGGGTGTGTGTGTGTGCGTGTGTGTGTGCATGTGTGTTTGTTTGTGTGTGTGTGGATATGTCAGTCACTTACACCACAATGAACATGATTGCTGAATTACATAGTCAAACTAAAATTAGATTTGCTGAAAATTGCCTGCAGCGATGTCTGTGAAGCTGACCCTGTCACTTTGCTGTGAAGAAACTCAGTGTACAGGCGAGGTTGCACGGGAGAGCTAAAAGCTTCAGCACACAGGACAGGCTGAGCTCCTGAACTGGAGCCAGGCACAGGACTGAGCACCTGAGAAACAGAACCCCCAGCCCTCCTTTATCTGGGCTGGATGGGCACCAGAGGACCCGCAGGAGATGCTCAGAACTCACACAAGACAGAGCCTCAGTGAGGAGCAGAGGCAGCGAGGAACCAGCCAGGGAGCCTGTGACCGCCACCTCGGGTTGTCTTATTTTGCTTAACAGCATCCAAACCTCAGGAGACCATTTATTACGTTATTTAGACCTCACGCCCTTTCTGTCCCGAAGTAAAACAAACATAAATATGACTCTGCAGTTAGCTCTTTGAACCTGGGTTATTTTTCTGAGAATGTCATCTTCGTCATCAACATCATGGTCATCATGTCAAAATCAACAGGCAAATCCAGTCACCGTGAAGACAGTTTCATGGCATGATTCATACACAATCATTCCATTCTACAGAGAATCTCTTTCAGATTCTTAAGGTGGATTAAAGTGTTATATTTAATTGCCAATTGTGAAATTGGTGGAAGACATTATACTAAAGGAATTGTCTCTGACCTCTCATGGGGTCATATTTCCAGAAAATCATTGTGATCCTGAGTGTGAGCTGACTTTCCAAGTGTTCCCAACCCTCCTCCAGATGAGATGCTGGTCTGTGTGTTCTTGCTCCTTCCCCTGGGGCAGATTCCTCTTGTTTTCCCCAGTTGTTCCCTCCCACAGCTCTCATAATCTCTGTTGGTGTCCCCAACTTCCAGATCTGCTGCCATGACCTGCAGATTAAAGCTCTGATTCCGTAAGAAAGTGAGGGGAGCTGCTTCTCAATAGAGCTTTGATGGGAACCTCTGTTCATACCTCAATTCTTAAGGGGCTGCACCAGTGCCCTAGGATGCTGATTTTCATGGCTTGCTCCTGCAGGGTAATATCTTAGTTTTGTAGTGGGGATCAGAGAACTGGGTCTGGATGCATTTCAGAAGTGTGAGCTCATTCTCTCCCAGACAGATACTATGGGAAAGGAAGATGTTTTGCAGGGGTAAATGATTCAAGAGATTAGGGCAACTCTCCAGTATGAGGTCCCTTAGAATTTCTCACTATAACATGCCTAACACACTCGACTTCAAGCAATCCAGTGTATATTTGTTCTTCATCTTGTAATAGCCTACATTTTATATGACAGCCTCTGCCTCAGGGAATTTCATACTCTGGCTTCATTACTCTCTACAGGAACTTGCCTCTCCCTAGATTTCAAATATTTTGTTTGTTTTCAACCCTCAATTATCTGAAGCATTAAGTAAAATTTGCAAACTTCCATCTTTTCTGTTTATCTGTTATTGTTGATACTATTGTTGTAAGAATGAATATATGGGCCCGGTGCGGTGGCTCATGCCTGTAATCCCAGCACTTTGTGAGGCCGAGGTGGGTGGATCACGAGGTCAGGAGATCGAGACCATCTTGGCTAACACGGTGAAACCCCATCTCTACTAAAAATACAAAAAATTAGCCAGGTGTGGTGGTGCGCACCAGTAGTCCCAGCTACTTGGGAGGCTGAGGCAGGCGAATGGCGTGAACCCGGGAGGTGGAGCTTGCAGTGAGCTGAGATCGCGCCACTGCACTCCAGCCTGGGTGACAGAGTGAGACTCTGTCTCTAAAAATAAATAAATAAATAAATAAATAAATATGTGTGTATATATATATATTTCTCATCTATGTACATTTTTAAGCTTAGCAGCATATTTTTTAGTGAGATCCAGAATAATAAAAGAATCCAAACATTTTTCAGCTGCCTAATAGAGAAACAAATTCTGGTAAATTTTTTCACTGGAATACTACTCAACATTTATAATAAATATATTTCTGGTACACAGAACAACAAGGAAAAGTATCTAAGTATTTATGCTGAGTAAAATAAGCCAGACAAATAAGAATATGTACTATATTACTCCATTTATGTAATTTATTTCAAATGAAAAAAATCTAAAGTAATATACAAAAGATGAGTAGTTACCTGGGAAAAGGGTAGAATAAAGGAAGGGGAAATGTGGAAACATACAGAAGAACAAGAGAAAATGTTGAGGGGAACTCACTTGTCCACCTCAGTAATGATGACGCTTACATCATGTTTTCAATTCTACACTTTAAATACGTGAAGTGTATTATCTGCCAATTAACACTCACAAAATTTATTGCAAGCAAACAAATGAAAAATTAGACCAAAAGCGGTGGTATAAAGATACAAAATATCCATTAAAAGTCAGAAATATCTGAGAATTTACCTCCTGAACCCTAGTTCTCTCCTTATTTTTAGGTGAATGCTAGAGTGCCACAAAAATCACTCAAGTTCTCAATACAGGAAGTGGGTTCCACAAAGCACACTAGGCATGTCCAATTCTTACCTGGAGTTGGTTCAGGGAGTAACTGGGGCCACTGATGTGGAGCACAGGCCAAGCTACCAGGGCTCATTCATCTCAGACATGAGACACACACAGCCCCTCCTCCATGTGTGGGTTTATTTCACATCTGTAAATGGAGAAACCATTGACTTCTACAGAACATAATTTGCACAAATATGTAAAAATATAATAGTGCAAAATGTTTATCACAACACATTTTCATAATAAGACAGTGTATTTCCCAAATACCATAATTGTCACCCAACTCCTGCGGGGCCCTGTCATTTTATCTGGGGTCTGCCGTCTCCTCAGGGTTCCCACCCCAGAGCTCTCTGTGTAGCAGGAGACACGCAAATAGGGCCCTCCCCATGCTGATGAAAACCAGCTAAACCCTGACCCTGCAGCTCTGGCAGAGGAGCCTCAGCCCCGGGATTCCCAGGTGTTTCTGCTTGGTCAACACTGAACATACAGGATTCACCATGGAGTTGGGGCTGAGGTGGGTTTTCCTTGCTGCTATTTTAAAAGGTGATTTATGGAGAACTAGAGCTATTGAGTGTGAATGGACATAAGTGAGCGAAACAGTGGATATGTGTGGCAGTTTCTTACCAGGATGTCTCTGTGTTTGCAGGTGTCCAGTGTGAGATGCAGCTGGTAGAGTCTGGAGCAAACTTGACAAAGCCTGGGTGTCCCAGAGACTCTCCTGTGCAGCCTCTGGATTCACCTTCAGTAGCCATAGCACGCACTGGGTCCCCCAGGCTCCAGGGAAGGGTCTGCAGTGGGTCCCAGTTATTAGTGGTAGTGGTAGTACCATGTACTACGCAGACTCTGTGAAGGGCCGATTCACCATTTCCAGAGACAATACGAAAAACTCACTGTATCTGCAAATGAACAGACTGAGGGCAGAGGATGCAGCTGCATATGACTCTGTGAGAGATACGGTAAGGAGAAGTCAGTGTGAGCCCAGACACAAACCTCCCTTCAGGGTACCTGGGACAACCAGGGAAAGCCTGGGACACTGTGCACTGTGCTGACCCCAGGGGCAAGTGCAGGTGCTACAAGGGCTGGGTTTCCTGTCTTGATCTGGGGCTGCGTTGTTACCAAATTACCCGAGGGAACTTCTCTAGATTTGCAATTCTGTACTAACATTTGATGTCTGTGACTGCTAAACTTCCCTCACATATTTGTTTTTTGTTTGTTTGTTTTGTTTTGTTTTTTGTAACAGGAAGACCCATCCTCACCCCTACAGAAGCCCGAGTGTCACCTTGGGGGCAGAAATGACCCTGCCTTGGTCACATTGATCAGTGTCCTGAGGAAGCCCAGTGGAACCTGGGGAGTGTTTTCCAGTCAGGCTCAGGGCAGAGACCTCCGTGGAAATCTCTGATTAGAATAGGTTTGGGATTCAGACTTGGGCCAAGAGGGAGTCTCACCCATGGGAGGGTCCTTAAATCCTGACAGTTTTTACAGCTGTTCTCCCTCCTCTGGCAAAACTGTGCACATCTGACTCAGAACTGATCCAGCTGGCCCTTACTTGCTAATCAATTTTTCTTCTCTCTACACTTCATTCTCATAGTTCCCTTTTCTTCCCTTCCCAGAAAACAGAGAGTGTGTTTTCTGTGGTCTAAATCTCAGGGCTCAGGCCTGTTACCTGGAACTCAGGTGTGGCCCAGGCTGTGGCTCCTGTGAGACCTGGGGAGGCTGAGGGGACTTTCCCACTCACCATTGCCTGGACCCGCCTGCTGTCTTCTGTGCATGGAGGCATTTGGGAAATGAAGTGGACATTAGTCACTGAGGGGATAATGGTAGCTTTCTCAAATGAGATACTGATGTAGAGCTGATCTTCTGTTTCTCACACTGTCACAGAATTTCCTCCTTCATCTGTGACTTTGGGGAAAGCTAAGGATGGACACTCTATTGTGCTGTGAGCTCTGGGTGACAGCAATTGGAGGGTCTGGCTAGGCAAATCCTACAGGGTTTCAGGTCAATGGAGTTGGAATTTCTGGGAAGACCTACACTGTCATCCTCCATGGAGTCCCATCGTCATCTCTTATGCTCTGATGGAATCAGCCCCACCTAGGTTATCTAGGACAATCTTCCTGACTTAGGAAAAAAATGATGGCAGGCTTTACTAACACTTATATTATAGGATCAGTACAACACCTAGGTTAGTGTGTAACTGAATAAATGACTCTATGAGTCAAGGGGACACATAAAATTGATTGTTGCCATGACATTTATTTATTTATTTATTTATTTATTTATTGGAAACCAGAGTTTTATTGTTACTGAAATGAGTCTCGCCAAGCATTCAAGAATGGGATTTTTTAAGGATAGCTTGGTGGGTTGGGGGCAGCCAGTGAGTCATGAGTACTGATTGATCAGGTCAGAGATAAAATCATAGGGAGCTGAAGGTGTCTTGTGCTGAGTCAGTTCCTAGGAGGGGGCCACAAGATCGGATGAGCCAGTTTATTGATCTGGGTGATGCCAGCTGATCCATCAAGTGCAGAGTCTGTAAAATATCTAAAGCATTGATCTTAGGCTTTATAATAGTCATTTTATCCCCAGGAGCAAACTAGGAAGGGTTAGAATTTGTAGCCACCAGCTGCATGACTCTTAAAACATAATTTCTAATATTTTGGCTAATTCGTTAGTCCCCCAAAGGCAGTCTAGTCCCCAGGACGAAGGAGATTTGTTTTGGGAAAGGGCAGTTATTGTCTCTGTTTTAAACTATAAACTAAACTAAGTTCCTCCCAATGTTAGGTAAGCCTACACCCAGGAATGCACAAGGACAACCTGGAGGTTTGAGGCAAGATGGAGCAGGTTAGGTCACAGCTCTTTCACTGTTTCAGTTGCAGCTTTGCAGTGGTGGCTTCAATTCCTCCCTTTGAGTTTTGACCTTATCGACTTGTTTTGTTTCTCTTTAAGTGATGGTTTTATAACCATCTATGAAACTCTAACAGGTGCTCTTACATGCAGATTTCTGATTAAAAACTCTGAAGATGGTTACAATAGTATAGAGATAAAACTATCAAATAGAAGACTATCTTTTTTGACTTTTCACTTAAAATGTTGCCCAAGAAAACTTTTCTTTTGAGCTATTTATAGCTTTCAACAATTGAGTATAGTCCTGTACATAAAATTTGGAGAATATTTGTTTCTCTCTGTCCACTTTCTCCAGAATTTGGAAACTCTTTGTGAATATCCTTAACTTATGGCAATATGATTTTTCATAAGTGCAGTAAGATTTTTTTTTTTTTGCAACAGGACACAATTGGAGAAACTGGTTATTTTACCAAGGCTTTGACTGTAATGGCGTGCTTCACCTTAAGCAATCGAACTTGACTTATACAGCCAATAAGAGCCCCTTGGGAAAACTGGCCTGTACCTTGTCCACACAGTCTTTGTACAAGGTTCCTGACCAGTGGTAAGTAAAGAATGTCACTTTCTAACAGGCCCAAGAACCCCATGTTTTCCTGGGACCCCAGAGGAAAAATAATTTACCAGACTTACAGGTATTTGATGGTAAAAACTCATGGCTGGGCTTGGCTTTAAAAAAGTCTTATCTGAGATTCCTTATGGAACAGAGTTCCACCAAAGCCAATTTTAAAAGCCTGTGTAAACAATAATTATTTGTATTGTGCTTTATGCAAATAATAAGGCCATGAATAAGACTAAAGTTTATTTTGCAAATAAATCAGTCCTATCTTGATTTGTTTTAAATAAAAATGGGGACAAGAGAGAAAAAAATTATGCTTTAAAAATATAGTACACCTGTTGTTTGCTGTTCTTGTTTTTTTTTCTTCAGCAGTTTGGACGAAATTCTAAATTATTTGTAGGCTACAAAGCCATAAACTAATGCGTTCAAATCTTTACTTTTAAAACTGCGAATTGCACTCCTTACCCTAGTTCTCATTATGTACTTTATAGTATGTTGTTCCCTCAAATGTGGTGCTAGAATTATAGATGACAGCACTGACAGCTTTGCCATGCAAGCCTTGGAACCCCAGGCAGGCCTGCGTGAGTACACTCAGACAGTTGCAATGAGGTTCCAGTCCTCTTATCTTGAGGTCAGCACCTACCCCTACTACGCCCCAGGTCATCAATAAAAAGTTGTAACAGTCTTGGCCCTTCTTACATCTTCATTATCCAACACCATGATTTTTGTTTTTTGCCAAAACAATTGCCAAATATAGTCATAATCATAGGATAAATAATTTTGCTGAAATATATGTGTTATTATTGGTCTTTTGAGATGGAAAGTCCAAGACTGGATTATGCTTTCATGCATTTTTCATAAGAAGTACTTCCACTCTTTTGACAGGAAATGCACAGGGGGTGACATGTGGCTGCAGAAGCTGATGGCATATGGTAGAAATCTGTCCCTGAGTAAAGGAGAGATGGACGGAGGATTGGGTGAAACATTCTTAGGTTTCTGTGCTGTGCAAGGAAGGTGTAAAACATATTTGAGTCTACTACAAGTCAACATTACCCAAGGGGGAACCCCTGTGACTCCAGCAATGACTCTGCCTCAGAATCACTAAAGAGTCCTTCTTTTCATTAGAGTGGACCACAGGATCTGGGCCATAGCATAGACGTCAGAAAGCAGCAGCTTGACACCTGATCCATGTGCATTTTCCTGCCTTTAAAGGGAGGGAGAGAGGTGTATTCTCAGGGTCAACACACTCTTTGTTGATTTTTACACAGAACACTGGCATTTACTTTATTTCATTGAAAGATATATGAACAGATGTGTGTCTGCAAATGATTGTAATTTTCACATTTATTCCAATTGCATAATTTTTAAATTCTGCTTGATGTCCTGGCACACAGTTGTGTTTTCTATAGGTATTTTTCAATAAATCAAGAAAATACATTTTCCACTTTCACTGGCTTTTCTCCATGTGCAGAGGCCTTGAGTAGATCATGTCTGACTATTAGTCTGTTTTCATGCTGCTGATAAAGACATACCAGAGACTTGGAAGTTTACAATAGAAAGAGTTTTATTGGACTTACACTTCCACATGACTGGAAAGGCCTCACAATCATGGTGGAAGGTGAAAGGCACATCTGACATGGTGGCAGACAAGAGAAGAGAGCTTGTGCAGGGATCTCCCTTTTTACAATCATCAGATCTCGTGAAACTCATGCAGTATTACATGAACAGTGCTGGAGAAACCCGCAGCCATAATTCAATGACCTACCACTGGGTCCCTACCATGACACTGGGAATTATGGGAGTTAAATTCAAGATGTGATTTGAGTGGGGACACAGCCAAACCATATTATTTTGCCCCATGGCCCCTCCCAAATCTCATGTCCTCACATTGCAAAACCAGTCATGCCTTTCCTACAGTCCCCCAGAGTCAACTTGTTTCAGCATTAACTCAAAAATCCACAGTCTAACATCTCATCTGAGACAAGGCAAGTCCCTTCCACCTATAAACCTGTAAAGTCAAAAGCAAGTTACTTCCTAGAAACAATGGGGGTACTGGCATTGGATAAACACACCCATCCAAATGACAGAAATTGCCCAAAACAAAGGGGCCCTCTGCAAGTCCAAAATCCAGCAGAGCAGTCAAATATTAAAGCTCCAAAATGATCCCCTATGACTCCATTTCCCAAATCCAGGTCATGCTGATGCAACAGATGGTTTCCCTTGGTCTTGGGCAGCTCCACCCCTGTGGCTTTGCAGGGTACAGCCTCCCTCCTGGCTGCTTTCACAGGCTGGTGTTGAGTGAATGTGCCTTTTCCAGGCACATGGTGCAAGCTGTCAGTGGATCTACCACACTGGGATCTGGAGGATGGCGGCCCTCTTCTCACAGCTGCACTATGCAATACCCCAATAGGGACTCTGTGTTGGAGCTCTGACCCCATATTTCCCTTTCTCACTGGCCTAGCAGTGGTTCTCCATGAGGGTCCCACTGCTGCAGCAAACTTCTGCCTGGACACCCAGGTGTTTTCATACATCTTCTGATACCCAGGCAGAGGTTCTCAAGGACCAGTTCTTGACTTCTGTGTACTCACTGGCTCTACACCATGTGGAAGCTGCCAAGGCTTGGGGTTTGCACCATCTGAAGCCATGGCCTGAGCCCTACATTGGCGTCTTTCAGCCATAGCTGGAGTGGCTGGACACAGGGCACCAACTCCTTAGGCTGCACACAGCACGGGCACCCTGGGCCTGGACCACAAAACCACTTTTGCCTCTTAGGCCTCCAGGCCTGTGATGGGAGGGGCTGCCGTGAAGACTTCTGACATTCACAGGAGACATTTTCCCCATTGTCTTGAGGATTAACATTTGGCTCCTCATTACTTATGCAAATTTCTGCAGCTGGCTTGAATTTCACCTCAGAAAATAAGATTTTCTTTTCTACTGCCTTGCCAGGTTGTAAATTTTCTGAACTTTTATGCTGTTTCCCCTTTAAAACTGAATGCCTTTAATAGCACTCAAGTGGCTTTTTGAATTCTTTGCTGCTTAGAAATTTCTTCTGCCAGACACCCTAAATCATCTCTCTCAAGTTCAAAATTCCACAATTTGCTCCAGTTCCCAATGAGTTCCTCATCTCCATCTGAGACCACCTCAAGCTAGACCTTATTGTTCATATAACTATCAGCATTTTTGTCAAAGCAATTCAACAAGTCTCTAGGAAGTTACAAACTATCCCATATTTTCCGGTCTTTTTCTGAGCCCTGCAAACTCTTCCAATCTCTGCCCGTTACCCAGTTAAAAAGTCACTTCCATATTTTTGGTTATCTTTTCAGCAATGTCTCACTCTACTGGTACCAATTTACTGTATTAGTCTGTTATCACGCTGGTCCCAAGACTGGACAATTCATAAAAGAAAGGTTTATTGGACTTACAGTTCCACATGGCTTGGGAGGCCTCACAATTATGGTGGAAGGTGGAAATCACGTCTCACATGGTGGCAGACTAGAGAAGAGTGCACATGAAGGAAAACTCCCCTTTTTAATCCATCAGATCTCATGAAACTCATTCACTATCACACGAATAGCTCAGGAGAGACCCATGCCCATAATTCAGTCACCTCCCATCAGGTTCCTTCCATGACATGTGGGAATTGTGGAAGTTACAATTCAAGATGAAATTTGGGTGGGGACACAAACAAACCATATCACTGACCTTCTCCGCATCATCTCTCATGACCCCAGAGAAAGAGCAGAGATTTGTCTGGGGTAGGAGCTGCTCCTGTGGAACTTAGAGGCTGCAGACGACCCCAGTGCAGTTTTATGGAGTAAGAGAGTTTTCCCATGTCTGGGAACTTCTAGCATACCCACTGCCAGAGATTGCTGGTTGGCTGTTATTGAGGGGTTCAGAATTAGATCACCTGGTAGCCTATCTCACTGCAGCCCCATTGTGTAACTTACCACCAATGGCCTTCACGTGAGGACTCAATGTTAACTGTTCTGACCTCATTTTCTTACCTCCTTTATTTGTAAGTTTGGTTACAGATTTTTTTTTTACTTTAATTTCAGGGATATGTGTGCTGAATGCGCAGGTTTTAGTTTCTTATTCAAGCCTTATAATTGCTCAACTGATCAGGAATAATACAACATGTATGCAGTTTTGGGGAAATATAAATGAACATCCATGCAAAATTTTTTGTTTGGATATGTCCGTCAGTTACACCCCTATGAACATAATAGCCGGTCCTCACCAGAAATTGCTGGTCCTCACCGATCTCAAAAGCATCTAGATCTTCAACTTCCTAGCCTTGAGAATTCAGAAAACAATGTTTATGATATTTCTGAGCCACCCATTTAATGGAGTTCTGTTATAGCAGCTGAAACAGACTAAACCATTTACCAAGTCTCAGTAAGGGCAGTGAGGGTCCACCATGCTTGAGAGACAAGCATTACTCTCTCATTTGCAGCTCAGGATGACAGAAGCATGATCACGAGCTGATCTGAAAAGAAGATGTGGCTTTCTCTCCCTCAGATCTCAGTTGAAGCCATGGTGTCACATCTCTATGGTGGAGACTAAATTCCAGTCTGTGATGTAATGGATGCCTGCCTCCTCCCACCCTCACTTACGAGACAGAGTTTCCATGCCATGCGTTATTGACCAAGAACCAAGAAGGACTCCAATTATTCTCACCCCTGCTCACTTGTATGGCAGAGGTTCTGGGGATATTCCTGGGAGAGGCATAATGAGACTATTTAAGTCCACGATTCCCAAACAGTTTTATGCTCTTAAAGCAGGAGTATCACTTTGAGATATATGAATAATTTCATGTGCACTAAGGTGGAGGCTGTTATATTTTTATAGGTAAAGATGCATGGCATAAAGACAGAGATACAGCACTCTGGAAATTGTGTGACTATATTTGCAGTTGACTGTGAATAATTTTTACCATGAAGTTATCCTAAAACACATAATATATTTTTACTGTAAGTAATTAATGAAAAGCTGACAGCTCCACAAGAGCAATATCCACTTGGTTTAGCAGAGAGAATGAGAAATAGCATAATTTAAGAATAATCAGTTAGACACTGTGCCATGTGCCTGTATTTTCAACTAGTGAGGATGCTAATGTGGGAAGATCACCCAAGCCCAGGATTTCAAGGCCAGCCTGCAAGATATTGCTAGACCCATTTTCTTAAAAAAAAAAAAATAACATTCTGGGTCATGACAAACCTCAAAAACTGACCCTCTAAATAGGAACAAATTTAATTGCATTAAAATGTGGATGAATTTTTGACACAAAACAGTGACAGCATGCCAGCAATGAGTACAGAATAACATCCAGTTGTTATGTTAAGAGATACAGACTCCGAAAAAGAGACATCAGGTAGAGGCTGTCAAAGGCCTCACTGCCTAATGACTGCTTTTCCATTGATACTGTGTGTATATCCCGGAATGCACCTGTGAATGAGGACATCATGTCTTTCATAGTGTGAGAGAAAGAGACATTACTACCCATCTGACAAAGGATTGATCAGAATATACCAGGATCTCAGACAACTCTATAGGAAAAATATCTAGTAATCCGAATAAAAAGCAGGCGATATTTATTTCTTAAAATAAGACTTTCAAATTGCAAACAGGCATATAAAATGTGCTGTGTAACACTGATCATCAGAACAATGCAAAACAAAACTACAGTGAAATATCATCTCATCTGATTTTAAAATGATTTCATCCAAAAGCCAGACAGAAACAAATGCTGGGAAGGATATGGAGAAATGAGAACACTCATAACCTGTTGGTGGGCACTTAAGTTAATAAAACCACTATGGAGAACAGTTTAGAGTTTCCTCAAAACCTAATAGTAGTGTTGTCATATAATCCAGCAATCCTGCTGCTGGCATGTACTCCCTCCCACAAAAAAAAAATGTTGTTTGCACTACCATGTTTGTTATAGCACTGTTCGTAATAGCCAAAATTTGAAAGCATCCTAACTGCCCATTAACAGATGATGGATAAATAAAATGTGGTACATATAGCATATGGATTAATATTATGCCATAAAGAGAATGAGATTTTTTCATTTGCAACAACGTGGATGAAACTGGAGTTCATTATATTAATTGAAATAATCCCAGAACCGAAAGACAAACTTCACATATTCTCATATATTTGTGGAAGTTAAAAATTAAGACAACTGAACTCGTGGAGATAGAGAGTGAAAGGATGGTCACCAGAGGCTGGGAAGGTCTATGGTAGATGGGGATTATTGGGGATGCTCAATGGATGAAAAAAGTGGTTAGAAATAACAAATAATACATAGTATTTGATAACACAACAGACTAAGTATAATCCTTAATAACATAATTATAGATTGTAAAATAACTAAAAGTGTATAAATGGAATGTTGGTAACTCAAAGAATTAATACTTGAAAGGATGTAGGAACCATTCATCATAATGTGAGTATTATGCAGTTCATGCTATATCAAAGTCAGGTACCCCATAAATATACACATATACCATTTACCCACAAAAATTCAAAATTAAAGTATTTATGTATCTCATCTTCTGTATCTATATTACATTAAACCTAAGAAGATACTGGTTTCTTCACACTACCAAGATCCACATAGACATCCGTAGCCTTCTTTCTTTGCCTGTCCATAATCTGACATTGAAAAATGAGGAAACCTTTCCTATCATATGACATTAATTTACTTAGTGCACAATTTCAAAATACACAAATTGTGTTAGAATTATTAAACTGACCCTTGTTGAAAATATGTTTATCGACTAGAATACCGTGCTTATATGCAGCTTATTTATATTTTACAATCACAACATCAAATTATTTCCAAAGATACTTGTTTCTGATATTCATGCCCCCCTTTCTGCAGTGAAATTAGTACAAACCTGTTTATCATTGTTAGATATTTTTATACAGCTTTCATTTTATTCTGTGTTTCATGACCAGCTAAATACTTTTGAAGTTGTATGCATTTAGGTTAACACTTTGTCTCAAAAAATTATGAGTTTTCACAAATTATTTATGCCATGTGTTTATCATTGAACACCATGAAAATAGTTTCATTGTGATTAAAAAGTGTGTGTTTCACCTAATCCACACACCTTTTCCCCAGATTCCTGGAAAACCACAAAGGTTTACTGGATCTATATTTTTGTCTTTGGCAAAATAGCCTGGCTATTCTCTTAGCTTCTTCTGCAAAGCATCAAGATTCACCTTCACTGACTGCAGCATTTATTGGGCCCTGATGGCTGGAGGAGAGGGGCTGGAGTGGGTGGTAGCCATGAGTGACCCAAGTGGAAGTTCTCAGTGGTGCTCTGCTCCAGCACAAAGAAGATTCACAGTTCCTGGGGACAACACTTAACATCACAATCTCCCTTAAAATTATCTACTGGAAAGCTGAGGAGTAGGCAGTGTATTACTGTGAGAGACACAGTGAGGGACATATGGGTGAGTCTAGACGCAAACTTCCCTGCAGGAAGACAAGAGGGGACTTTGTGGTAAATGGTGCTCAGAACCACTAGGGGACACTCAGAACCACTAGGAGACACTCAGGATAGCAGAAGGTGCTCAGGATGCCGCAGGGTGCTCAAAACACTAGGGGTGCTCAAGACCAGCAGGGGGCACTCAGGACACCAGGAGACACTTAGGACATCAGGGGGCGCTCAGGACACCAGGGGGCGCTCAGCACAAGCAGGGGCCACAGAATGACAAGGGTGCATTCCAGACCACCAGGAAACACTCAGGACCAACAAGAGATTCTCAGAAACCACCAGGTGTAACAGGACCACCTAAAGGCCCACAAGACAACCAGGAGACACTCATGGCCACTGAAGAACATTGAGGACACCAGGGGTTCAGGGCCAACAGGGAGTGCTCGGGGCCACCATGGGGCTTTCAGTAACCACGAGGGAATCAATCACTCAGGACACCACGGTTTTCTTAGGAGGCAGCTCCACATCAGGTGCCTGGGGAAGGTGACGTTTGCTTTTAGACCTAGCTGATTCCTGAGCTGGTCAAGCAAAAGTCTTCCCACGATCTCTCACTATTTCTTCCTTGTAACCCATGGTTTCTTTCACATACAAATCATTAACTTAGGATAGGAATTCAATTCAACTTTTAACCTTGCATATTTTTAGAATAATAATAGCAATAGTAATTCAATGTGTTTTGATAATAAGAAATTGTGTATGCCTAATTCAAACTCTGGTTCCACGCATGGGTTTTTGTTTCTTGTGCTGTGCCAGTCACACTACAGTCAATGCTTTTCTAATAATAACTCAACAATGTCACGGTGTTAAGTTTCCTTTCATTTTGTCTGCCATTTGTGGAGATGAAACACCACTTTCACGGGTCAGTTCCTCCACTTTGGTTGGGTTCTGGTCTTCTGCTCTTCACACTGTTTCTCCACCTTCCCTTCTGTCAAATCCTTTTGTCTTCCTCAGTCTCCTGGCAAAGAAGCAACAAATCTATTTATTTTGTCTCCTCCACGTCTGGTGAATCTGTTCACTTCTCTTCATGATCATTGAACCCAACCATGTTTAGAAGGATAACAGTTCACCTTACAATATGCTCATGTAGGTCAGGTGCAGTGGCTCACTCCTGTAATCCCAGCACTTTGGGAGGCCAAGACGGGTGGATCATCTGAGGTCGAGTTTGAGATCAGCGTGGCCAACATGGCAAAACCCTGTCTCTACTAAAAATAGAAAAATTAGCCAGGCATGGTGTCGGGCACCTGTAATCCCAGCTACTCGGGAGGCTGAGGCAGGAGAATCACTTGAACCCAGGGTGAGAGGCTGCAGTGAGCTGAGATAATGCCACTTAACTCCAGCCTGGGCGACAGAGAGAAACTCCATCTCAAAAAAAAAAGCATATGTTCATCTATCCGCAGACTCTCTGACATCGTCACCCTTTTCTAGGGTCCTGCAGACATCACCCCACAACATCCAGTCCTTTTCCTAAGTACCACAGAGTGGGCTCTGCAGCTCCTGCTGCTCTCTGTGTGCTCAGCGCTGAGGCTCACCAGTGCTTTGATGATGAAGTTCAAATCCCTAATGTGTTTGCAATTCTCAGACAACCCTCTAGCAAGCTGCCATTGTGAGTGCATTCTGGGGATCCTGGGCTGATTTCAGGTCCATATTGCTGGATGTTCTCTAGCATCCAGGCGTGTTGGCAAATAAACATCTAGAATTTGTATTGAAAATTTGTGGAAAATCAATGGTAGAAAACAATCCTAATTTCTAAATAAGAACATTTTATCCTGACTTTATAAAAACACAATGTTAATTTAACCAATAATGTAATAAAATGTGTTTAAAGTGATGTTTATCTTGTTATTAGATGTATTAATAATTGGTATTTTAAAGTATACTAACAGCATAAATGACAAACAAACCAACACAGCGATTATACATAAATACCATTGTACATTAATTAATTTGGCAAGAATGGCATTTATTTTCATTTCTACCAAACCTTGCCTTTAAATATGTTTGTTAATTGGCATTAGGATAGTGAAACAATCACACAGAGCAACAACATTTTGGAATATTACATTATACTATAAAATAGTACATTCGATTCAATTATATAATTAAAATAACATTAAATAAATTCATGTTTTGGTTTGATATTTGGATATGTGTTCATTTTTGTATTTTCTTTTTTTGTATCTTTTGTAGAGATGGGGTTTCACCATGTTGGACAGGCTGGTCTCGACTTCCTGACCTCAGGTGATTTATCGGGGGAACCCACCCCCAATATTTCAATGTAGGGTCTTTCTATTTTCTGTAAGTGTCGGCTGGTCTGAGAAATAAAGAGAAAGAGTACAAAGAAAGGAATGTTACAGCTGGGCCACCGGGGGTGACATCACATATTGATAGGTCCGTGATGCCCCCTGAGCCGCAACACCAGCAAGTTTTTATTAGGGATTTTAAAAGGAGAGGGGGTGTACGAACAGGGAGTAGGTCACAAAGATCACATGCTTTAAGGGGCAAAAAGCAGGGCAAAGATCACATATTCCTTCCCCAGGGTATTAATTACTAATATTCCTTGCTGGGAAAGAATTTAGTGATATCTTCCCTACTTGCACATCAGTTTATAAGCTCTCTGCAAGAAGAAAAATATGGCTCTATTCTGCCCGACCCCGCAGGCAGTCAGACCTTATGGTTATCTTCCCTTGTTTCCTAAAATCGCTGTTGTTCTGTTCTTTTTCAAGGTGCACTGATTTCATATTGTTCAAACACACATGTTTTACAATCAGATTTCATATTGTTCAAACACACATGTTTTACAATCAATTTGTACAGTTAATGCAATCATCACAGGGTCCTGAGGTGACTTACATCCTCAGCTTACAAAGATAACAGGATTATGAGATTAAAGAAATTATGAAAGTATTGATTTTGGGAACTGATAAATGTCCATATTAAAATGAAATCTTCACAATTTATGTTTAGAGATTCCAGTAAAGACAGGTGTAAGAAATTATAAAAGTATTAATTTTGGGAACTGATAAATGTCCATATTAAAATGCAATGCCTAGGGCCAACAAAGGAGTCATATTAATATGAAAAATAATAGCTGAATATTTTGGAAATGACACATGCAGTAACAAATGTCTATATGAAATTAAGAAGATATTGACACAAAATTGAGAAAAAATTAACATAATTATGCTCACTACTGGTTTATAAAATGCCTATAATAACACTTTTTAAATCATATTATAGAAAATAAAATAACTATATAAATAGCACTCTCTTTGCTTGATTTTAGTATTTGGTGCTTCAAATGTTTTTTATACAAATAAACATTGGTCATTTTTTGATGGTAATTTCAATATTTTCTTCCAGAATACATGTTCATAAATGTAATTGAAATTGTATAATTTTCAGAAACTTATTTTATCAGTTGTGACTTGTATTTTTATGATAGTCTTTTTACATTTATATACTTTTGATTCAGAATAATTATAGATAAAAAAATTATAAAGTTAATACAGTGTGTTCCCATCTCCAAGTATCTCCTAAGATGAATATCCTCTATCATCATAAGACATGGTGTTAACACATTTACATTGATAAGTGTAAATATATTCAATACCAGACCTTATTTTATTTATCATTTTTCCAATAATTTCTATTGTAAATGAAAAATAAAATTCTAAGCTTCCTCAAGCAACTAAATGAACTCAACCCTCAGCCAAGGGAATTTCAAAGTAAATTCTAAAACTTGTTCCAGCAATGATGGGAAAGTGAGAGGTCAGACATGCCTCATTACATGCTCCTCTCTTTGGAATTAAGGCACCAGTGGCCAGCATTAGTACTACAACAAAGATCTTAAGACGGGCAAAACTATATTTTTGCTGTAAACACTTTCTATAGCAAAAAGACATCAAATTACAACTTGATTCTAGTATAGCATCACATGACAAATAGCAAAACCTAATGATTTATTCTGTATGAAATCTGCTACCTGGAGGCTTCATCTACATAATAAGAACTATGATCTCCAGGACCCCTTATCTTAATCCAGACACTCAGTTGTAATGATTGTATTACCTTACATTTCAACCAATTGCCAATCAGAAAATCTTTGAATTCTCCTATGTCCTGGAACCCTGTGCATAAACTTTCCTGCCTTTCTAGACTGCATAAATGGTATAGCTCACATGTGTTGATTAATATCTGCCTGTAACTTCTGACCCACTAAAGTATATAAAATCAAGCTGTAATCAAGCCATTTTGGACATGTGTTCTCAGGAATTCCTGGGGTCGTGTCATGGGCCTTGGTAACTCATATATATCTCAGAATGAGCCATTTTAAATATTTCATAGTTTGTCCCTTTTAGTGGATATCTTCTTTTCTTTTTTTTGGGACAGAATCTCTCTTTGCTGTTGCTTTCGTATATTTGTTTGTTTCCAGATTCCATCAAGGCCATCAGTTTGAATTCAGTTGTCTTGTTCCTTTATTCTCTTCTGGTAAATGACAGTTTGTATTTCTGAAGTTTTCTAGTTGAATATTTTATAGATAAAAATTTATCAAGTAGGTTGATAGTGCCATTTGGGACTCTTATATCTTTACCTATTTAATCATTGCTTGTTTTCTCAATCACAATGAGTGTTGATTTCTCCATGTTCTATACATGTTAGTCTATTTTCTGTTCCAAATCCATTTATTAGGTCTTTTAAAATGGATTTTGGAAAAGTTGATCCTATTATTTTATGCAATATTTCACTTGAGTTGCAAAGGTATTCTTTTTATGATTATTTTGTCTGAAATTAACATAGCTATTCAAGTTTTCTTTGGTTTATATTTTCATGGTCTATATTTTTCCATCTTATTTCTTCTCTTTGTGAATATGTTAAGAAGTTTTCTTGGAGAAAGATAATTGCTGGGTCTTTTTTTTTTTTAGTCAACTATGAGGAATTATTTTTTAATGATATTACCCTTTTGTCCAATAATGGTTGTTTTGTCTTTTTACAATAATATGTATTGTTTCTATTAATTTATTATTTAATTATTATTGATGAATATCTTATTGGTTACCATAAGGATAACAATAAGACATTTCTATAATTGAATTCTAATTCAAAAATGTAGTACTTCTTTTTCTTTTTTATTTTTTTGAGACGGAGTCTCACTCTGTCGCCCAGGCTGGAGTGCAGTGGCACAATCTCAGATCACTGTAAGCTCTGCCTCCTGGGTTCTCGCCATTCTCCTGCCTCAGCCTCCCAAGTAGCTGGGACTACAGGCACCTGCCACCATGCCCGGATAATTTTTTGTATCTTTAGTAGAGACAGGCTTTCACCGTGTTAGCCAGGATGGTCTCTATCTTCTGACCTTGTGATCTGCCTGACCTGGCCTCCCAAAGTACTGGGATTACAGGCATGAGCCACCGTGCCCAGCCTACCCCTTTATATATAGAACAGAGATATTATAACTATATATGTCTAATTCCTCTTTTCTATCCCTTTTTTATTTTATCAGTTTGTAATTACATAAGCTATAAAAATGTAATATTGACATTTTTATAATTGCTTTACACATTTATGTAATAAAGAAAACACAAATGCAAAAACTAAATTTAAACCTCATTTTTTTCATTGTTGACAATCTTTATCTTTTGGATACATTCAGGTATTGGATGTATATCATATGGCTGCTCATCTAGAAACTCTGCTAAAACGTCTATGGCAAGATTAATATGCTGGGAATAGATTTTCTCAGGATTTGTTTGTCCGACAGAGTATTTATTTGTCTTTGATTTATCATCTCAAGAGACAATGTCAAGAAGATGCTGTTTCTGCAAATGGGCAATCTGCAAACCAAGGACACGTCACTACATTACTGTGCAAGAGAAGCACATGAGGAAAGGCCGGTGTGAGACACAAACCTCCAGGAACACCTGGGCTAATGAGCTGCAGGGGGTGCTCAGGACCCACTGATCAGTCAACCACAGAGGGGAGTGCAAAGGTTAGGACTGCTTTCCTGCAAGCATTGAAAAAAGAAGAAAAAAACTCCGTCTGACAGTTTCTCCAAGGAACTTCTGTAATTTTAGAATTCTGTGCCTACCAATGACATCTCCAAATATTTTTTTAAAATATTGTGTTTTGAGGACATACTCTCACATGGACAAAACACAAATTGACACAGAGATGAAAAGCCCTCAACCATAGTCACCAAAATTGGAGACATGTAGAAGCTCACTGGGACCTGTTGAGTCTTCTCCAATCACACTCAGAACAGAGACCTTAGTGGGTCTCCCTTAGAGTAGTCATTAAGGATGGTGATAACAGCCTAAAGATGGTAGACCATGGTCAGTGTCATATAGAATATGGGGACCCTCACAAGTTTTTTGTCTGACCCTTCTCCTGACACTAAATTATGCAAATTAATAACACTGATCTGGTGCTTCTTTTGATTCTAATTTATTTTATTTTTAGTTGTCGTTCTCACTTTTCCTTTGGATTTTCCTGCTCCCTGGAAAAGGTAAATGTGGTCTCCGTGACCTCAATTCAAGGGCTGAAGCCCTTTCCCTGTAGCTCAGCTGGGGCTCAGGCTGTGGCTACTGCAGCCATGTGGAAGAGGCTGAAGGGACTTTCTTCACTCTCCTTGCTCAGGACCATCCACTGTATTGTGTATAGGCTTCTCTGGAAATGCAAGTGGCCATTTGTAGTGAAAGAAATATGTTTGTCTGGTTAAAATGGGAGGTGGATGTAGAGTTAATTGGCTGCTACATAAACTGTCCTTCTCCACCAGTGCTTTTAGGATGAGATTGTGAAATTTGTAAGAATCAAAATGGAGTCACATATGTTAAAACCCTGACAAATGGATTCAGGAAGTGTAGGGAGAATTCTTACACACATATCCCTGACAACAAGAACTATCATAAAATAGTTCTTGCAAAAAGACCAACATGACCTCATAATCATGACTTCTGCAAAGACTTCTACTCAGAATCTACTTGCCCAGCCTTAGATTAATGCCATCTGAATTACACTGATCATGTTACTATCACTGCTCCTCACCACAGATGCAACACCCTCCTGAGTCCTGAAACCTGACTCCATCCCATAGAGTAGGGCACAGATGAGGGGAATGCAAATCTCCACCAGCTCCACCCTCCTCTGGGTTGAAAAAGCCGAGCACAGGTCCCAGCTCAGTGACTCCTGTGCCCCACCATGGACACACTTTGCTCCACGCTCCTGCTGCTGACCATCCCTTCATGTGAGTGCTGTGGTCAGGGACTCCTTCACGGGTGAAACATCAGTTTTCTTGTTTGTGGGCTTCATCTTCTTATGCTTTCTCCACAGGGGTCTTGTCCCAGATCACCTTGAAGGAGTCTGGTCCTACGCTGGTGAAACCCACACAGACCCTCACGCTGACCTGCACCTTCTCTGGGTTCTCACTCAGCACTAGTGGAGTGGGTGTGGGCTGGATCCGTCAGCCCCCAGGAAAGGCCCTGGAGTGGCTTGCACTCATTTATTGGGATGATGATAAGCGCTACAGCCCATCTCTGAAGAGCAGGCTCACCATCACCAAGGACACCTCCAAAAACCAGGTGGTCCTTACAATGACCAACATGGACCCTGTGGACACAGCCACATATTACTGTGCACACAGACCACAAAGACACAGCCCAGGGCACCTCCTGTACAAAAACCCAGGCTGCTTCTCATTGGTGCTCCCTCCCCACCTCTGCAGAACAGGAAAGTGCAGCTGAGATACGTTTTCCTGCCAGGGCCTGCATTTCCCATCCCCATTAGACTCAGAGCCCTGTCTTCCTCCTTCTTCTTTAATAATAAATGGCATGACTCCTGTTAATAGTTCATAGAAGCAGAAGCTGAGTCCTGTTTGTCAAACATTCAGCATGAAATGTTCATGTTACCTGGGCCAGATGCATCACTGGTATGTGGCCGCCAGTTTAATGGGCTCATACTACTCCAAGCGGCCGAATACAAAACAGCAGAACATATGCCTTTATTAAACTGCAGGAAATGACACTGGAGAAAAATGTGGGGATAAGGGAGCAGGAGGAATTGTGAAAATTCAGATAATAGCTTTTCTCGTAGAGAGAAAGGTGCGTTAATAAAATAATTTTATAAAACAATAAAACAGATGGAATGTGTCCCCATCACGGAGTGTCTCACAGTAACAGTGCAGAAATAAATTTCTAAAAATGTCGTAGGGTAGGTGTGATAGACAAGGCTTATTTCCACACAGGGAGCCCATAAATACCCATGTAATTAAAAATCCAGCTCTTAGAAAGGGAGTGCCTCAACTTGACATCAGAAACCCACGTCAGTGAGTCTGAGGAGCAATGTGGAAAAGAAATGGAAAATTCAACAATACCTTTCTTATGAAAATCCTAGCTCACGTTTCAACATGAAACATAACTGTCTACAATTTTAGGAAAACCATCCCATGGCAACAAGTCACTACACTCAAAAGGTACTGAGCTAACAGAGTTCCAGCAGTGAGCAGGTCAGTGCTGAAATCCCCGGAGAATCAAGGCTCTCAGGTACGTTGTACAAAACCCAGAACTGAGCCACACAATCTATGGTCAAGTGATCTTTGACAAAGTCAACAAAAATATGCACGGGGAAGAGGCCACGCTCTTCATGCCATGTTGCTGGGACAATTGGACTGCCATATGCAGAAGAATGAAACTGGACACCAACCTGTCGACATATACATAACCATAAGAAAATGGACTGAAGGCTTGATTATAGGACTTCAAAATATAAATGTACTCGAAGAAAACACCAGGAGAACTCCTCTGGACATTGGGCTTAGTAAATAATTTACCACAAAAACCTCAAAAGCACAAGCAATAACATCAAAAATAGATGAATGGAATTTAGTTAAACTAAAGAGCTTCCACACAGCAACAGAGTGAACAGACAAATTGCAGAATGCTAAAAAATATTTGCACACATTGCATCTGGCAGGGGACTGATAGGCAGAATTTACACGGAACTGAAACAACCCCACCACAACAACAGCTATGAAAAAACAAATAACCTCATTAAAAATTGGCAAAGGACACGAGTAGGAATTTTTTTAAAGAACACATATAACTGGACAAGTGCTAAACATCACTGATTATCAGGGATATGCAAATTAAAACTGCAAAGAGGTATCTTACACCAGTCAGAATGGCTACTATAAAAGAAGCAAAAATAGCAGACATCGGTGGCGATCAAAGGCAAAGGGAAGTCTCAGTCATTGTTGGTGAGGATGTAGATGAGCACAGCCTCTATGGAAAACAATGTGGAGATTTTTCAAAGAAATAAAAGCAGAACTACCTTTGATTCAATGACCCCACCATTGGGTAACTACCCAAAGGAAAAATAAATCATCATATCAGAATGATAACCAAACTTTTGTTTTCCTGCAGAACTATTCACAGTAGCATAGATATCAACCTAAGGAATTAACCTGTGTCTTACAACAGATAATTTTATTTAAAAAGTCACATATATATACAATTAAATACTATCCAGCCATATTAAGGAATGGAATCATGTATTTTGCAGCTACATGGATGGAACTCTGGGTCATTATTTTAAGTCTAATAAACGAGAAGTAGAACAGCACACACCACACTTTTTCACTTATAAATGGGAGCTAAGTAATATGTGCACAGGGCCATAGAGAAAGGAATGATGGACATTGCAGACTCAGAAACATGGGAGAGCAGAAGTTGGGAGAATGGTGAGAAATTACTTAAAGGGTATGATGTACATTATTTGGATCATGGATACATTAAAGCCAAGACGACTATGCAATATATATATGTAACAAAATTGCAGTCACTCCCCGTAAATGTATACGTATAAAATAAAAACAAATACAATTGAAATGTGAAATTATTAACAGTTGATCAACAATCCTGAAAATTAAAACGTGTGATCAATAAATGAAAATAATTTTAGTTGAACTTCATCAAATTTTAAAACATTTTCTATTCAACCGACTATCAAGAAACTGAAGGACAAGCTTCAGGGGAGAAAGTATTTGCAAATCATACATCTAACAATGTAATTATAATAAGAACCCTCAAAACTCAACAGTAAAAAGAAGCAATCTGTTTATAAAATAGGCAAAGGTTTGTGCAAACTTTCTATCAAAGAAGATGTACAGATGACACATCAGCATATGAATGTAATTTTCCAGTAGAGAAATTCAAATCAAGACCAAAAGGAGACACGACTTTAGGCTTTAGAATGAGGAAAAATAAAGAAGAAATACTGACAGTACCAGTGTCAGTGAGCATGCCAGGCCCCGAGAGACTAAAATATTGCTAGTGCAAAATGAAAGAGTTTCTGGGAGAACTGTTTACAGTTTCTTATAAAATTAAACATGTCCTTAATCCATGACCTAGAACTCTCATCCCTGAGTATGTCCTACAAAGGATTAAAATCATGTGTTCACACACACACGTATTCAGATGTTTAACATTGTGTGTGTGTGTGTGTGGTGTGTGTGTGTGTGTGTTAGAAACTAAAAACAACATGAACATCTTTGAAAATTTGACACAAACCATTACAGGTGAACTCCAGACTTTCTTCTGAGTGACAGAAGGCCTGCCTGAAAGATCCCCAGAGACACAGTCATGGATTTCACTGTCACCCTCACATGTCACTGGCTTGGGCTGGGCTCTCTCTGGCTCTTCCCTGACCAGGACCAGATGTTGAGCTCCACTACCTGCAGTTGGAAGTTTATATTTTCAACAATGCACTGAGGGCTAAGTTGCTCTACAGACTGAACCAAACAAACATGGGCGCCTTTGAACAAACAGTGCCTGACATTTGTACCGACCCCAGGAGAACTCTTCCCGCTCTCTTTCTTCTTGGTTCTCTCCTGCAGGCCAGCAGCCCTGCAGTTTAGCCTGGACCTCTCATGCATCTACCCATCTCCTCCCAAGTGCATTTTACCACAGCCTCCACTGTTTTTGTAATTCTCCACACTCTGTTGTAAATGAAGTCAGGTCCTTCGAGACCAGATTCGGGACTCTATTTTATGACCAAATTTCAGCCTCACCCCCACTCCTGAGACAGAGCTCCTAAATAAGATTCTGCAGGTGGAGATTAAGAGCGTTTTTCTTCCTCAATGTAGGAGATGAGTGCTCAGTGGAGGGATGGGGAGGAGCTTTCCACTTTACCAGCATGCAGATCCTGCTGGGGTGGACCCTCTGCCATAGGAGCAGGGCTGGGAACCAGGCAGCCAATGTCCTCCTCCTTGGTGCTGCACTCAGGGCAGAGCCTGCATCCATGAGTGGGGCTGTGTGGAAGAAGTGAGTCTCTGGTTCTCAGTAAGTCTTGTCTAGAACTGAGCCTCAGCAGCATGACCTGTGGGCAAGGTCGGAGGGCCAATGTCCTGGCCCCTGGGGAAGAGTGTGCTCTGCTGGGAGCTGGGCAGAAGGAATCCTGTCTACTTGGCTGCAGCCATCTGTGGTGGAATTTACATCATGCTGAGCTCGGGCATAGAAGGAAGGAAGAGAATCTTTGATCAAATATCAATATCATGTCTGACCTTACTGAGGTTTTGTAGATTATCTCGAATAAATGTTCCTTCACTTTCTGTATGTTGACAGGGCCTTTCCAGACCCGTTAATTTTTCAAAATTAATCTCACCAGTTTCATGGAGGCATGGATATATCGAGCTCCTTGTACCGTCATGTGAGATGTGGAACTGTTTCCTTCACTGGTTATAAAATAATGGGTTGACTTTTTTCCCAACACTTTACAGATACCATCAATTGTCCTATTGCTTATATGGTTATAACCAAAGCAATGCTGATATTATTCATTTCTATTCTATTGCAAGGTATGCCCCCTCTACTCGTCTCCAATTGCTGGCATGTATTTCCATTTGTCTGTATGTTTTAGTAATTTGAATATGATTCACCTAAGAGTGTTTGTGTGTGTGTGGGTATGTGTGTGTCGTGTGTGTGTGTGTTAAGGGCTTATCCTGCTATTTGGTGTTCTCTGACCTGCACTGATCCATGACTTACAATTTCTCTAATTTGGAGGAAAAAATAGAGGGAAAGTGAGTTTGAGTCCAGACACAAACCTCACTGAAGTGAGCACAGGATTCTAACCCCAGGGGTGCTCAGGACACGCTGATCACAAGAGCCAGCCTCAGGGGCAGGTGCAGATGGAGGCTGAGCTCTTCTTTCCCGTCAGCACTGTGGCTTCTTCTCCATAAAACATCTTCCCTTGAGGAATTTATCTGAATTCATGATTTTTTGCTTATCTCCAAAGTCTCTGAAATGAAAATGTTTGTTTTAATAAAAGAAAAATCTTCTCACATGTGTAAAAGACAGTTTCCTACAGTCGCTTAATCTTGTCTTTAAATGTCAATTATCAATGCTTCTGAAGTAAATCAGCTAAATCTATAAAAGACACTTTGTTTAACTCAACACTGCAGCCCAGCATGACAGCACTGAAAGGGCCAGCAAGCAGCAGGCAGGATACGGTGCATGCCAGACACTGGGGCGGAAGGAGTTAGTATCCAGTGCAAGAGAAGAAAGTGCCCGCGGTGGTCACTGTCAGGACCCAAGCTCACAGCTCCAATTGCAGGTGACCCCATGCAAAGGAAAAGATACCCTCACCAATGTTTAGTGTGGATGTCGAGTCTGATGGTGCCACATTCACACACCACGTGAATATGGAAAGATTTACCAACTCCATTATTGAGGCGTCTGCTGAGGGCTGCACAGGCCTCTCAATAAAGTCCAAACTGGCTCAATAGAGCAGGAAAGAAGCTGCCTCAGGGTTTTTATGATGGTTTGGTGTTGAAGGAATGGTGGGGCTTCCTACTAAGGGGAAGGAGCTTGTATAATTTGAACCTAATACTGGCATCCAGTGAGGACACTTCCATGATTTTCTACTAAATTTCCCATGTGTGGGGGACAAAAGTGAAGGAAAAGGATTAATCCTGTCATCAGTAATGAGGCATCAAAATAGAGTCTGATGACTTATTCTACTTAGCAACTTAAGCAAATGAGTGAAAAATGAGGTAAGTGTTCACTCTGGGTGGACAGCAAATAGGTCTGCAGAAAATAGAGTTTTTTTAAGTGTAAGCACATAACAAAAAGAAAGAGAAGAACAAATTGAACAGGGATCTTGGACCAATGTCCTGGGTGGAAGCTCTTCACTCTGTGAGATCATCAGCTTGCTCTGAGGGTCTCGGGTCAAGTCCTTCTTCAATATATCTCAGGCCTTACAGGATACATGGGAATGCTCAGCTTGGTGTCCTTCACTAGGGAAAAGAAAGAGAAATCAGACTGTCACTGTGTCTATATAGAAAGGGAAGACATAAGAGACTCCATTTTGAAAAAGACCTGTACTTTAAACAATTGCTTTGCTGAGATGTTGTTAATTTGTAGCTTTGCCCCAGCCATTTTGACCCAGCCACTTTGAGCCAACCTGGAGCTCACAAAAACATGTGTTGTATAAAATCAAGGTTTAAGGGATCTAGGGCTGTGCAGGACGTGCCTTGTTAACAAAATGTTTACAAGCAGTATACTTGATAAAGGTCATCCGCATTGTCTACTCTCAATAAACCAGGGGCACAGTGCACTGTGGAAAGCCGCAGGGACCTCTGCCCTTGAAGGCGGGGTATTGTCCAAGGTTTCTTCCCATGTGATAGTCTGAGATATGGCCTCGTGGGATGAGAAAGACCTGACCGTCCCCCAGCCTGACTCCCGTAAAGGGTCTGTGCTGAGGAGGGTTAGTAAAAGAGGAAAGCCTCTTGCAGTTGAGTTAGAGGAAGGCCACTGTCTTCTGCCTGCCCCTGGGAACTGAATGTCTTGGTATAAAACCCGATTGCACTTTTGTTCAATTTTGAGATAGGAGAAAAACCGCCTTATGGTGGGAGGCGAGACATATTTGCAGTAATGCTGCCTTGTTATTCTTTATGCCGCTGAGATGTTTGGGCGGAGAGAAACATAAATCTGGCCTACATGCATGTCCAGGCATAGTACCTTCCCTTGAACTTAATTACGACATAGATTCTTTTGCTCACATGTTTTTTGCTGACCTTCTCCCCACTATCACCCTACTCTCCTACTACATTCCTTTTTGCTGAAATAATGAAAATAATAATCAATAAAAACTGAGGGACCTCAGAGGCCGGTGCCAGTGCAGGTCCTTGGTATGCTGAGTGCCGGTTCCCTGGGCCCACTGTTGTTTCTCTATACTTTGTTTCTGTGTCTTATTTCTTTTCTCAGTCTCTCATCCCACCTGACGAGGAATACCCACAGGTGTGGAGGGGCAGGTCTCCCCTTCGTACTTGAGCAGCCTTACAACTGGGTGGGTTTATGAATTAATTCCTCGGTTGCATTACATGAAAAATCACACAATCTACAAATTTTAAAAAATAAGCCTTTACTTTTTATAAAAGATTACAGCCATTTCACAGGCTGGGAAGCACAGCCATTGGTGAAGACGAGAGACAGGCACTCCCAAGGAGGAGCGGTGGGGCAGAAACTTTATGCTGAACGTGTTGGCTAAACAGACATAATCAACGGATTACAGGAGGGGCTATGCGTGTTCATAAAGGTGGTCATGACACATGAATATGGGAGCAAACATACACGTCACATGTGACCCACTTAGCAGTGGGGACTTAGCATTTAAATGTGTTACAGTTAGGCCCTAAGTGCCAAAAGCTGGAGCAGGGGCACAAAGACCCTCAGAGCGCAGCCTCCATAAATGGCCAGAACCAGGCCTTGGTCAGTGGTCTCTGATCAGGAGAAAATTCCTGAAATCAATCTGGTGTCCCATCCAAGCTGGGGTTATGGCTGTGGAATGGGGGGTCAGTTAGTCAGAGGATGAGCTGCAGTTGGTTAAATCGTGCTTATCTCAGGATCAGTGCTTATTTTGCTGCTACAGAAGAAAATAACAGTTTATATTCTTTAAGAGTTGGGGTGAGGGATGTAACCCCTGCCTGGCATGGCCTTAGGTCTTGTTTATAACGGGGCATCTTATTGCCCCAGAGAATCTGTTCTGTCAGTCTTATGATCTCCATTTTAATGTTAGTGTTGGTCCATGTTGTCTCTGAACCACAAAAGGGAGTGGGTATAATGAGGTGTGTCTGATCTCTTGTTCTGCCCAGCTGGGAACTCAGTTTTTAGGTGTTTTTGGTGCCTCCTTGGCCAAGAGGGGGAACCACTCAATCTCATGGGGTGACTGCAATTTTACTTTTAGTTTAAAGTTTATAAATATGGACCTAAGTATTGACATTCTAAAAGTCACTCCTTTGTTTTGGCTAAAAGTACTTGGCAAGAGTCCTTGAAATGAGGTTCAAGAGCAGTATTTTCTCATGACTTTATTTGCAATAGACACATGAGAGACTGTTGAAAAGATGAAGTACCAAAGTAGCCTTAATCTGTTGGTGAATGGAGTTGGTATAATACAGAAATCACTTTCAATATTTTGTAACACATGCATGCGTGCAATAAGACAGCGGTGAGCACTGAGTGTAAAGTCTCTAAAGGTACGATCTTTCAGCCACCAAATAATAGTGTAATAACGGACATACTCTGGAGGAGCTGACTATAATACCGTAACACCACGGGGAGAAACTTTGGCCAAGGAAGTCCAAGATTTTCTTTTCCTTTTCCTTTTTTTTTTTTTTTTTGTTGTTGTTGTTTGAGACAGAGTCTCACTCTGTTGCCCAGGCTAGAGTGCGGTGGTGCGATCTCGACTCACTGTGACCTCTGTCTCCCTGATTCAAGCGATTCCTGTCTCGGCCTCCCAAAAGCTGATATTACAGGCATGTGCCACCACACCCAGCTAAGTTTTTCATATTTTTAGTAGAGACGGGGTTTTGCCATGCTGGCCAGGATGATCTCGCACTCCTGACCTCAAGTGGTCCTCCTGCCTTGGCCTCCCGAAGTGCTGGTATTACAGCGTGAGCCACCACACCCAGCCGAGATTTTCTTAAAGTTTTGAAGATTTTAATTTAAGGGTTACAATTTTTTCAACATTTCCAGAAAGCTGTAGACAGTATTATTCTGTGTTATATGAGTGATTGTAGTTCCTTCCATTTTTAGATAGTATTACAAACAATTTTAGGGCTGCTTGCTTTAAATAGATAGATGATAGATGGCTACATACATACATACATACATACGTACCTCGATAGAGATATAGTTGCAAACATAAATACATAGATAGATAGAGTTACAGATGTATTTTAGTTATTATGCTACTTTTTTCTTTGCCTTTTCTTCCTATGTTATGTTAGTCAGGTCTCCAGGACTTAGGAGTGCATTTACAATCCCTTCCCTTGTCCATTTTGACGTGTTCTAGACAATGCGAGAATCCTTTTGTGTGTGGATCACTTCCAAGTCATGTACTACCCTTGCAATAAATGTGTTTGTGTATGTCTTTGCCTTACTGACAAGCTCTGCTGAGTGCAGTTATTTCTGCCGTCTGAGCTAACTTTACACTTGGTAGAGAAATATATTCTAGATGGAGGCTTCCACTATTAATTTAAATTACTAATTCATAACCTCCAGCTTAATTATTGAGGTATAATCTATCAGAGATGGTATTAGAACAAAGGTTTCCAATGAAATCTAACATAAGGGATGTGAACAAATTTTCCTAATTTAGGTAAAATAACCCTGAGCCCATTCTTAGTATCCAGCCATGTCTCCTATCTATCACACTGAATCTCACACTAACTTTGACCTGACTTGGGACTTGTAAGCTTCAAATATGACCTTTTGATTGCAATGCCTCTAATTCAGGACGTGTGGTTATTTTAGCCAAGAGTAAAGAAAACCAAATTTAACTCACTAAAAATGACGAAGATTAAAACCTAATGAAATGGAAACTGGGATATGAGTGGCTCCAGACTTGGCTATTTTAAGAGTCTATGTGCCCAGGTGATTTCTTTTCTCCGTTTTACACACAGGCAAACCCAAAATGTCAGCTTCATCTCCCGTTGACTCTCATCATCTCGTTCTTCATCAGCTTGCTTAGAATGTTGACTTCCAGCTGCATCCATGTTGCCACAAAAGACATGATTTTATTCTTTTTCTGTGAATGCATAGTGTTCCATGGTATACATGTACCATATTTTCTTGATCAAATTCACCATGAAAGGACACATAGGTTGGATTTATGTCTTAGGTATTAAGAGTAGCATAGCAATGAACATGTAAGTGGGTGTATTTTTTGGTAGACTGATTTATTTTCTTTTGTGCATATACCCACATATGAGATGGCCGGGCCAAGTGGCAGCTCTGCTTCAAATACTTTTCAAATCTCCAGACTGCTTTCCACAGTGCTTGGACTAATTCACATTCCACCCAACACTGTACAAGTGTTTCCTGTTCTCTGCAGCCTCGCTCCAGACTGCTTTCCACAGTGCTTGGACTAATTCACATTCCACCCAACACTGTACAAGTGTTTCCTGTTCTTCGCACCCTCTCTCCAGACTGCTTTCCAAGATTCCTCTCCTCCACTTTGACACTTTGGTATATCCATGTGTGTCCTCTCTGGTTCAGCCAGGGACAGAGAACCAGGAAGACATCATGCATTTTCTAGAGGGAGCTGGCTTGGGGAATCAACGACCGGAGTAGAAAGTGCCTCTGTCCATGCATCACAGGCCTGAGGGCCCTGGGCAGGAGGTCAGGAAGAGAGGATGACCAGACAGCTGGGGAAACTGGGATGAACAAAGCCAGTTTCCTTCCTGGTGAGGAGGGACAGGTCGAAGCCTCGTGTCCCTGTAGGGATGAAGCACACTCACCTGCCCACTGCTACCTGCAAATCAGGTGACCTTCAGAGCAGCAGCTCCTGAGTCACTGATGGTGACTTCCTCCTCCTCCAAACCCTCTAGGATCTGTGCTTCTCAGAGTGGGAACCCCCGCAGGTCCCCAAGTTTTCAATGGATTCACCTAGCTAGTGTCTCTCCTCAGCCCCATCCCCAGGCTGCTGCCCTGGTGCTGTGTACACTGTCACAACAGGGGTGACAGTAACAGCTGGTGCCTGCACTTTCCAGGCCAAGAAGTTTGAAAGAAGCAAGTCACAGGGCCAGCCGGGATATGGGGTAATCACACAAATTTCCTTCTTGGGGGAAGTGCTGGGAAACATCCTTGAGTCCTCCTCAGCTCACATGCGGCTGCTGCTGTTCATCCCAGTGTGGGGACACATGAGCCCTCCCCATGCCCAGGATGGAGCTGTTTCAATCACAGCAGGATGGGAATGTGTCTTCTCTATGGGGGCTTTCGGAGCACAGCTCTCCTGTTCCTGAGATTTGAGATTTATAAAGACAAGTCCCACAGAGTGGACTTGCACAAATAAGACAGTACAGGATCCCCAGGAGAGACATCCCATATGAGAAGGGACAGGCAGGTCCCATCACTGACGCTGGTCCTCAGAAACCCTGACCAGCTACTGACCTTCCCAGGTCCCCTGTTCCTGATCAGTGCCTGTGTCTGCTCCTGAGAAGATCCCCATCAACAGTCCCCAGGGTTCTGCCCCCTTCCTTGATGTGCCTCTGGGAGTGGGGCTGGCTGGGCTGTGGGTCTGCTGTGACTTTCCCCACAGGTCAGCGGCTCAGTGCAGGCTGCACCGACTCGGTGGGGCTGGGCTGTGTCTGACTCTCCCGGGGGAGCCTGAATGCTTCTCAGAGGCATTTGCAGGATCCCAGGTCCTGGGAGAACAGGGAAGCAACAGTGTGTGCAGGGCCCCGTCTCCAGGTGTAAGGTGTTTGCTGTTGCTCTACTTGACAAGGGCATATCCCCAGGCCTAGGGGCACTGTGGGTGCACAACCAATGTGCTAGACACAGGGAGTAAGGCACAGTTCCCTCCCATTACTGTGGGGAATCTAGGCACTGTGTGTGTGTGTGTGTATGTGTGTATGTAGATTAGGAGTTGTGGAGTGGGCAGGTTTAGAAATTATCTGATGAGATGTTCATCCAAAGGAACTGACAAGAGATTAGGTGTTTTCCCAAAGTCCCTGGGAGTTCCTGGACTCACTATGAGTGTGGACTGATCCAGTGCTTCCGGAGCTCCAGGGAAGGGGCTCCCTGGTGGTTTCATAGAATCCTTGCTTGGGGTGTTTCTGCAGAGTTCACTGGCTTTCCTACGGCCAATTTACTATTGTAAGAGATGGTGTCAGCAGTACATGGTGTCACGTGTCACTAAAGGAGCATTCCGAGCCAGGACACAGCCACTTCATACTTGGGGGAAAATGCTCTGGGAGCCCAGACAGGAGCCTCTCTGCAGTGCAAGGGCTGGGCTGCAGGGGACGCTCAAAGCCCACCCAGTACAAGTTTCAGCCCCAGAGCAGGTGCACAGGAGGCTGGGGAGGGATTCCTCTCGAGATCTGTGTCATTCTTTAAAAAATCTAAAATACATATTTGACAACTGAACATTCTATAAATATCCTATTCAATTGCGAGCATTTATCAAACTTGATGTTGTAATGAGAACCACTTTTACACTGGAGATTTCTAACCCTTCTAGATATCTTAATAGTATGCAGCTGGAGGTTAAGGAAACTACTTTTCTTTTCTATAAATAAGTGAAACTTTTGGAGAAACACACTCATCCCCCAAATAATACATTCATGTATTAAAGCCTAGAAATGCTTATATTACCTCTGAGCCATTTGAGTGTGGGTTCCCAGTGAAGTCCTGTTCTAGGGAAAATTGTTAGCCAATGGGAGAAGCTCTGTCAACATAGAGCTTAGGGATATGGCAGGGCTCACATGGCCTCTAAGGGGATTACAGCTTGAACCTTGAGCATCCTCCGTGTGTCATCTCTCTGCTCTTTCTCATGCAATATCAGGTATGAAATAGGATCACTCATGAATATGCAAATAACTGAGGTAAATATAGCTATCTTTGGGCCCTGAGAGCATCACCCAACAACCACACCCCTCCTAAGAAGAAGCCCCTAGACCACAGCTCCACACCATGGACTGGACCTGGAGGATCCTCTTCTTGGTGGCAGCAGCAACAGGTAAGGGGCTCCCCAGTCACTGGGCTGAGGGAGAAACCAGCACAGTCAAGTGAGACTTCATGCACTCCCATCTCCTCTCCACAGGTGCCCACTCCCAGGTGCAGCTGGTGCAATCTGGGTCTGAGTTGAAGAAGCCTGGGGCCTCAGTGAAGGTTTCCTGCAAGGCTTCTGGATACACCTTCACTAGCTATGCTATGAATTGGGTGCGACAGGCCCCTGGACAAGGGCTTGAGTGGATGGGATGGATCAACACCAACACTGGGAACCCAACGTATGCCCAGGGCTTCACAGGACGGTTTGTCTTCTCCTTGGACACCTCTGTCAGCACGGCATATCTGCAGATCTGCAGCCTAAAGGCTGAGGACACTGCCGTGTATTACTGTGCGAGAGACACAGTGTGGAAACCCACATCCTGAGAGTGTCAAAAACCCTGTGGGAGGAGGCAGCTGTGCTGAGCTGAGGCAGTGACAGGGACAACGTGGCTGCACCCTTTGTAGGGTTATAAACATACATATATATGCACCCAACAGTGGAGTACCCAGATATATCAAGCAAACATTATTAGAGCTAAACAGAGAGATAGACCCAATACAGTAAAAGCTGGAGACTTTAACACCCCACCCTCAGCATTGGACAGATCTTCCAGACAGAAAATTAACAATGAAATCTTAGACTAAATGTACATGACAGACCAAATGGACATAATGGATATTGACAGAACACTTCATCCAATGGCTGTAGAGTGCACAGTCTTTTCCTAAACATATGGATCAGTCTCAAGGATAGACCATATAGTAGACCAGAAAATTAGTCATTTTTTAATTGAGAAGATATCAAGTACCTTCTCTGATCATAATGGAAGAAAACTAAATTAATAAGAGGAATCTTGGAAAACTATGCAAACACATGGAAATTAAACAATATGCTCCCTAATTAAACAATGTGCTCCCAAATTGAACCACATGCTCCAAAATGGGTTAATAAAGACATAAAAAATTTTAAAATTTATTGAAAGAAATGATAAAGAAGACAAAGCATATGAAAACCTATGAAATACAGTGAAAGCAGTATTAAGAGGAAAGTTTATAGCTATAAGCACTTACTTTAAAAAAGTAGACAACCATAAAATAAACATCCTAGGAATGTCTTTTAAAAAATAGAAAAGCAAGAGCAAATCAAACCCAAACACAGTAAAAAAAAAAAAAGGAAAGATCAAAACGTTAATACATAAAATTGAAATAAAGAAAACAATACAAAAGATGGATCAAATGAAAAGCTGTTTTTTAAAAAGATAAAAGACATCTACAAACCTTTAACCAGACTAAGAAAAAAAGAAAGAAGACCAAAGTAAATGAAATCAGAGAGAAAAATGGAAATATTACAACCAATGGTGCAGAAAATCAAAGAATCATTAGAGGCTAGCAGGAACAACTAAATGCCAATAAATTGAAATATCTGGAAGAAATGGATAGATTTAGAGACACATACAACTTTGATTGAACGAGGAAGAAATTGAAAACCTGAACAGATCAGTAACAAGTAGTGAGAATGAAGCCGTAATAAAAGGTCTCCCAGCAAATAAAATCTCGGGACTTGATGACTTCATTGCTCAATTATGACAAATATTTAAAGAAGAGATAATACCTAACCCCACTCAAAATATTCCAAAAACAGATAAAGAGGGGAGGAATTCTTCCAAATCTCCTGTACGAGGCCAGCATTACCCTTATACAAAAACCAGACAAAGACACACCTAAAAAAAAAGAAAACTATAGGTCAATATCACTGATGAATATGGACGCAAAACTCCTCAAGGAAATCTTAGCAAACCAAATTCAATAACATAACAAAAGAACCATTCATCATGACCAAGTGCAGTTTATCCCAGGGATGCAAGGATGGTTCAACCTATGCAAATCAATCAATGTGACACATCATGTCAACAGAATGAAGGGCAGAAGACATAAGATCAGGCCTTACCTTGTTCTCCTCACTCAAAGTCTACCATCAGTGCTTTAGTCCTCTTGGTCAGTCCTGCTGTACTTGGTCTCCCATGATTCTGTTCCCAGGTCCTGAAACACTGGGCTCCTGCACACCTGGAGTCTCTCTCCTCTTTGAACATGGAGATCCTGTATGCTCAGAGAGGGGTGATGACTCATGTGGCTCCCATGCCCCATGCAAACAATTCTTCCAAAACAGTTGTGACTTTTCCTGTTGGAAATTGAAAGGGGATGTGGGAATCTATGTGTGTGTGTGTGTGTGTGTGTGTGTGTGTGTGTGTGTGTGTTTCCTCAGGCCTGTTGAGAATGCAGCAGGGCTCTATGTATAACAGGAAAGCAATGTTTCTCCATACCATCTATTTTCTTATAAAGTGTTCATAGGTAATCAAAAGGAAATTAATCACAGTTTATAAGATGTTGTGGACTGGAGTGATGTTGTCACTCAAGGCTACTATGGGGGCTCCAGGAAAAGAAATCTAGAAAAGGATAAGACTGTGAGCAAAGAAGCAAAACCTGGGGAGCAACAGGGAGGGATGAGCAGGGGTGACTCAACCGGGAAGGGATTAAACCACATACCACAGAGAGTGAAAACGCTGTGCTCAGCAAAGAGGAGAACTTACTCAGCATTTCCCCCAATCCTCCCTCCAGAAGCGTGACTGCCAGGAAAGTTCACAATGTATCATCTCCAGCTGGGAACCCGAAAGAAGCAGGAGGACTGTAGACCACAGGTCCTGGGCACCATGTGTTTCCCCAGTTCCTACTCCTATTCTTCCCTCTCTGTCCAGCAAACCTGCTTGTTTCTGTCACCTGCCTTCCTGCCCTTGGGGTGAGAATGGATGCCTTGAACACTCAGCAGAGGGATGCTCTTTCAGAGGAGGAATGACTTCGTGTCATCTGACGCCTGAGCAGGAAAATCACCCCTGAGAAGAGGCTCCGAGACAGAGGGTCGCCATGGTTCCTGCCCCTTACATGTGCGGGGCTCCTGGCACATGCACACTTCTCCTCAAACTCTGTTTAGGAGAACAATGCTGGGTGTTGTCAGCCTCTCTCCTCCCTAGATACTGCTCTGTCATCAGCCTGAGCACAATTTCCCCATGAAAGGCGTTAATCTTTCTCTCAATTAGATCAACTTTTTACATGTCTTTGATGGATGACAGCTTTTCAGTGTGAAATTCTAGAAATAAGAAATGGGGTGATGGGGACAGTGAGCTCTGTGTGTGACTCACCAGGATGTTCCCTCTTATTCCAGGTGTACTGTCCCAGGTGCAGCTGCAGGAGTCAGGTCCAGGACCCATGAGGCCCTCAGACACTGCCCTCCACCTGTGCTGTGTCTGGATTCTTTTTTTTTACCGGTGGATATTATTTGAGCTGAATCCACCATCCCCTGGGCAACAGATTAGAATGGCTGGGGCACAGCTACCAGGAATACACATCATGATCACCAAGATCACCAAGATCATCATCAAGATCACCAAGGAATACACATCATGCACCCTCTACCCAGGTCTGCATCTCCATCAACAATGACTCAACCAAGAGCCAGTTCTCTGTGAGGCTCAGCTCCATGGCTGCCTAGGACATGGCTGAGTATTACTGTGAAAGACTCAGTGAGGAGGTGTCCTTGTGAGCCCTGACACAAAACTTGCTCTCAGGGCACTGAGGACCGCCAGCAAGACTCAGGACCGTGAGGGGGACTCAAGACCACCAGGGGAAGAGCAGGTTGCAGGAAGCACAGGGCCAGCCCCAGAGCAGGTGTGGGTGGAGATGAGAGGCTGGTTTACTGCCAGGGTGTGGGGCTGCCTCTACATCTACATGTTTCCTCCAGGGACCCTCCCTTATTTCATGATGCTGTGCCTAGCTCTACGTCTCTGAAATACCACAGTTTTGTTGTACCAGGAGGAAACCTTCTCACAGGCACTAAATGCGGAACAATCCCTCTGCCAGTGGTCACCAGGGTCACAGCCCTGTGGAAGCTGAGGGGAACCCAGTGAGTCTTCTCCAGTCACACTCAGGACAGGGACCTTAGTGGGGTTCCCTGAAGAAAGCAGTATTTAGGAATTCTAACCTCAGCCAAGAGAGAGGCTGGGCCAGGGTCAGTGTCAGGTAGAACCTCACAGGATTTACGTCTGACCCTTCTCCTGACACTAAAGTATGCAAATCTGTATCAGCACTGATCTGGGGCCCCTTTTGCTCGTAGCCCATTCTATTTCTTGTTAGTTGTGTTTGTTGTTGATTTTCCTTTCGCTGTTCCTGATCCCTGTAAAGTGGAGATGTGGTTCTTGCTGTAAAAATTCCAGGGCTCAAGCCCTTTCCCTGCAGCTCAGGTGGGGCTCAGACTGTGGCTCCTGCAGCCACGTGGGAGAGGCTGACGGGACTATCTTCTCTCCCGTTGCTCAGAACCCTCCAGTGTGTTGTGTGGAGACTCACCTGGGAATGCAAGTGACCAATAGTTGTGAAGGGGATGAGCTTGTGTGGTCAAAATGGGATGTGGATGTGGAATTTATCCTGTGTTGTGCAAACTAACACAGGTTCACCTTCCTCACCTGTAGTGTTAGAAAGAGAGTGGGAAAGTTGTCAGAATCAAAATGGAGCCACTTGTGTTAACACCCTGACAAATGAAACTAGGAATGACCATGAAGGAGGGTTCTTAAGCCCATATTCTTGATAACAAGAACTATCATAAATAGACTCTGCTTAACCACAATCTTGGGAAGAAGACACCACAATCTTATAAAGAATTACTTTTGCAAGGACATCATCCCAGACACTGCCAGTTCAACCTTACACTGATGCCACCCTTGATATTGATTCTACAACTACAGGATCGTTCTCTCAAAACAACTTTTGTAACCCATCCCATTTTCACTTCATAAACCTATGAACTGATATCCTGGATTACTGCTGCGTTTGTTGATAACGTTAAATAATAAGGCCTTTTGACAATGTTTGAAGCTGCTTTTCTCTGATGTCTCTTCTAAAATAAAGAATTTCCAAGTTAATGACAATAAAAAGATAATTAGGAAGATTTGGTGGGAAGGCATCTTTAACATCCTGTTGAATGCTTCTGCATAGCACATGAGTCCCCTAAAATACTTTGCTGTATCTGCATTTAATGAATCAGAGTCTAATATTGAAGATGTAATTGAAAATACATGGGCTTTTGATGAATCAAGTCATACGGTGATAATGTTTGTGTCCTTGAGAAAGCAGACCCTGTGTTGTAAGTTTTAGCAGATTTACCTTCGGCAAAAAAGCTCATGTGTTTCTGAATGTTATGCGACTTTTAACTTAACGATGCAACATATGATTCAGTTTTATTTAGAACTTTCCAGAAGATTTTTGGCAGTAAGGACAGTGCAGCATTTGAGTAACACTAAGGAGCTAAAAAGAGTTATTTTGTAATTGCTCCTGTGAGGTATGCACATCGCTCACTCAGTATTGAAATTCAAATGCCACAGATGGGAAAATCAGAATAAGGAAAATTTTATGAACTGGCATGGCTGTAGTTTTTGTCAAGCAAGTAATTCATGTCTGCAAGAAAATACATACAACAATAAAACACATTCAAGTCCAGGGGGAGGCTGACCTCTGCCCTCTATATTACAAGTACAAGGTGGTATCACATCCAAATTATTTTTCAGACTCCAGGGTATAAAGCGCTTTTGGACGGTGAAGCTAACAGCTCTCCCCTCAGGTGTGGCTGAGGTATGTGGAGAATGCAGAGTTGTGTTCATGAAGAAGATTACATTATTGTGTCTGGAGACAGCTCCCCAGGGTGTGTCTCAGATGTCAGACATGCGTCTATAAGTCAAGCAAAGAGAACACATTGAGTCCAAAAATCAGCATATTCTTACAGGCACCCATTGCTCCATCACATGGGTGAGAAATTTTTGAGACAAGTGAAGTGTGAGTTCACAGTAAGTGATGCAGTTATCATATTTCCATGAACTTTCATTAACAAGGCAAGGACTTCTCTAGATCACTCATACACAAATATACAAAATGTATTTTTGCATTTGCGAGTGTCTAGAGAAAAAAGAATCTGTTGAGAAAACTTCTTCAGGTTACAGAGATCTGTTTAAGTTGGAGATCTCACAGGAGTGTGTCTTTGAGTGAATACTGGCCTATTAATTAAATAGGTCAAAATTCCCTCTGTTGGAGTAGCCTTCCGATTATGTAGATTTCTTTATTGCTTCCTGAGTTGTGAAACATAAACCCAAGCATTGACTTACTGGAATTTGACTGCTGTGTTGATAAAATTTCTGATATGGTTTCTTCCAATGATTTAAGAATAGCTTTCCCCTTTCTTTACTCCAGGAAATGAATTTTCACAAGGTCTCAGGACACCATATTTCAGGTGCTTTAGTTAAAGAGACTGACTTCTTGGGGGCAGGCCTCTTTCTTCTAACAATGAGCTCACTTCTTCTGCAAAGCATTCAGTCTGTGGCTCTATTGCCATGAATCATGAAGATTTTACACTCCAATGCACTAAAAATAATGCCTCTTCAATTAAATTTCCATTGGCATTGACATGAATTGGCCACTCTTGGATGTGTGTCCTATGTTATGAGCCCAACATGTCAGCGGACTGAGAATCCTCTGTTAGCTACTTCTGTGTGTAGCACTGAGCAGACTAACAATCCTCAGAGTCATCCATGAAGGGAGTCCTGAGGTTCCTGGGGTTCTTGGAGACATTCAGGTGAGTTGAGAGGAGAAACAGGATTGTGGGCTGCCAGCCATTTCAACAACAATGGGAGTCATTACCATCTAAGTGTAAAGTCTACATCATTCAAAATATCCTCCATGACAGGCTGATAAGAAGAAATCCAACCACACAATGGCTCCATGGCAGCTCTTTAGTATATTTGGGAGTGAGGCTTTTTTAGGGAAGAAATGTCCACTCCAGTGTGTCCCTGATGCTGCTCTCAGCTAATGTAAACAGTGAACTGGAACCAAGATTCTCTGAGATCAATGTGAGGATTAATGCTGCTCCAATGTGTTTAAACAAGCATGTGGCAATTTAGACGAGCCTGGCTGTGTGGTTTGTTATATGTAAATCTGAACTAAATAAACAGAAAGGGCATGTCTGAACTAGTGTGAGGGTGAGAGAGCTCATAGACCCCAAACTCGTTTTTATTTCCTCCTGGAACCTCCAGGTCCTTTGGTACCTCCAGGTACTTTGTCCATGCATCACAGGCCTGAGGGCCCTGGGCAGGAGGTCAGGAAGAGAGGATGACCAGACAGCTGGGGAAACCGGGATGAACAAAGCCAGTTTCCTTCCTGGTGAGGAGGGGCAGGTCGAAGCCTCGTGTCCCTGTAGGGATGAAGCACACTCACCTGCCCACTGCTACCTGCCAATCAGGTGACCTGCAGAGCAGCAGCTCCTGAGTCACTGATGGTGACTTCCTCCTCCTCCAAACCCTCTAGGATCTGTGCTTCTCAGAGTAGGAACCCCAGCAGGTCCCCAAGTTTTCAATGGATTCACCTAGCTAGTGTCTCTCCTCAGCCCCATCCCCAGGCTCCTGCCCTGGTGCTGTGTACAGTGTCACAACAGGAGTGACAGTAACAGCTGGTGCCTGCACTTTCCAGGCCAAGAAGTTTGAAAGAAGCAAGTCACAGGGCCAGCCGGGATATGGGGTAATCACACAAATTTCCTTCTTGGGGGAAGTGCTGGGAAACATCCTTGAGTCCTCCTCAGCTCACATGCGGCTGCTGCTGTTCATCCCAGTGTGGGGGACACATGAGCCCTCCCCATGCCCAGGATGGAGCTGTTTCAATCACAGCAGGATGGGAATGTGTCTTCTCTATGGGGGCTTTTGGAGCACAGCTCTCCTGTTCCTGAGATTTGAGATTTATAAAGACAAGTCCCACAGAGTGGACCTGCACAAATAAGACAGTACAGGATCCTCAGGAGAGACATCCCATAAGAGAAGGGACAGGCAGGTCCCATCACAGACGCTCATCCTCAGAAACCCTGACCAGCTACTCACCTTCACAGGTCCCCAGTTCCTGATCAGTGCCTGTGTCTGCTCCTGAGAAGAGATGAAAATTCAAGACAAATACTTCTCATGATCATAGGCTTAAAAATTCTCAACGTAGGAAATCAAATCCAGTAGTTTATCAAAAAGTTAACACACTGCAATCAAGTAGGCTTCATTCTGCAAATGCAAGGCTGCTTTAACTGCTTTCCACAGTGCTTGGACTAATTCACATTCCATCCAGCACTGTACAAGTGCTTTAACCTGTGCAAAGCAATAAATGTGATGCTCTACTAAACAGAATCAAAAGCAAAAACCATGTGAGTATTCCAGCAGATGCAGGAAAAAAGCTTTCAATAGAATCTAACAACGCTTCATGATAAAAATCCTCAAAATTATAGACATTGAAGGAGCACACCTCAATCTGATGAGCCGTCTATGACAAACCCATGGCCAACATCATACTGAATGGGCAAACACTGGAAGCATTTTCCTTAAGAACAGAAACAAGACAAGGATGCCCGCTCTCACCACTTCTATTCAGCCTAGTACTGGAAGTATTCACCAGATCAGGCAAGAGAAAGAAATAAAAGGCATCCAAATAAAAGAAAAAGAAGAATGCAAACCCTCTGTTTTCACTGATAATATGATTCTATATGTAGAAAATATTGAAGGCTCTGCCAAAAGTCTCCTAGTATTGATACATTCGTTTAGGAATGTTTCAGGATATAAAATCAATGTACGAAAATCACAGTAACCTTTCTAGTCACCAACAACGTTCTGGCTGAGAGTGGAATCAAGAACATGCTCTCCCAATAGCCATCAAGACAGTGGAATACCTAGGAATAGAGTTAAGCCAATGAGATGAAATATCTCTACTAGAAAAACAGCAAAACACATGTGAAAAAAATCAGAGATAAAACAAATAAATGGAAAAATAAACATTCCATGCTTATGAATTTAAACAATAAATAATATATGAAAAAGTTTTAAAATTTGTGATTAATTCTACGTAGCAATGCCATTTTTTTCAACATTTACAGAATATTGTTGCTGGTAATAGCAGTTTAGCATTTGAGTAATGGAAACACCTTACAGAATCACTTTATAACAGTTGCTTCCTGTAGTGGGTGTGCTTCAGTTACCTGATGAAAACATCGGCATGTCACAGGTCGAAAACATAAAATATGTCTATCAACTGAGAAGGTTGTAGGCTTTTGTCAAGTAATTACTTCAAGTCATTCAGAAAAACAGCAGACAGTAAACGAAACTTGTTCAAATTCCATGGAGAGTCAAAGCTGAAGAAAATCCAACTAAAAGTGTCCAAAGGCCCCCAAGGCTCAGTTCCTCGGCAAGTCCCACCTTCACAGGTTTTCCAGAATTTTGTTTTTAACTGATTTACACTGAGTGAAGTAGATTACCAGGAGTTTTCCATTATTTTAACATAAAATCGGGGGCTAAGTGTTGTTATTTTATAAAGACATCTTTGAATCTCTCAGGAAATTTACCTCCTGAGGGTTCAGATAAGATCCTACTCTAGGTTAAGATTACATGTTTGGCGCAATGAACTGGTACAAATCTTACTTTAGCTTTCATGTTATCTATTTTTCCGCACTGACTTCCACCTTTTTATTAGTCAAGTATATGGGATGGAAGAGTGCTTCTAAGAGGTCCTTAACTTGCCCATTTCAATGGATTTTCAAGAAGACATGAGAAACCACTTCGTTTGCAAAGCATCCCAAAGCCATGTCCTGCTCCAGAAACGTGATCTCATTTCCTGGTCGTTTCTTAACTGACACGCTCTAATCAGTGCATCTGGGCCAATTTGAAATGAGGTGAAGAAATGTGTCCTAAAGTAAAGCTAACATTGTAATAGGAATTCGTGTTTAAAAACATTTAGTTTTATTATTGGGCAGGATCCATCAACATATAACAGTTGAAGTTTCTCAACAGGAGTTTAATAAATATAAGGAATGTACAGAAGTGTTTCCTAATTTAGATAAAATGTAGTGATTACCTAGGCTGTGAGTGAAATCTTGGTAATCTGCTATGTCCATGCCCATCACTCTGTGCACCTCAAACTAATTTTGACCTCAGCAGAAACGAGGTTAATTTTCAAATTAGTAATTTTTTTCCAATTTAATTTATTTAGATGATTATGAATGACTATTTTAGCAGAAAGAGAATCAAGGAAACTTGAACTAAATAACCAGAATTTAAAATGACAAACAATTCAACAAGATGCCAGGATGTGAGTGGCTCCAGGCCCAATTAGTTCAAAACTTTGTGTGCCCAGGTTCTGTATTTTCCTAAAATTGCACATCTCCAGTCCAGCTTCATGCCACAGTCGACTCCCACCGTGTAAGACATGGCGACAGCATTCCCAAAGGTCGTGTGCAATTCTGAAAATGGAATAAGCAAGGTGAGGAGATGATAGTTTATATTCTCCTCTGAGGAGGAAGAATTGCCTCAACAGACCACTTCTCCTGCATCTGTGACTAGAACTATGTCACAGGCACACATGGAGCAAAATCCCTCAAGGGGATAATACGGTAACATTAATCAGGGTGATCATTTTTTTTTTTTTTTTTTTTTTTTTGAGACGGAGTCTCGCTCTGTCGTCCAGGCTGGAGTGCAGTGGCGGGATCTCGGCTCACTGCAAGCTCCGCCTCCCGGGTTCACGCCATTCTCCTGCCTCAGCCTCCCAAGTAGCTGGGACTACAGGCTCCCGCCACTACGCCCGGCTAATTTTTTGTATTTTTAGTAGAGACGGGGTTTCGCCGTTTTAGCCGGGATGGTCTCGATCTCCTGACCTCGTGATCCGCCCGCCTCGGCCTCCCAAAGTGCTGGGATTACAGGCGTGAGCCACCGCGCCCGGCCGATCATTTTTAATACTATAAAATTCATAGATGACACTGCATTCCAGCCTGAGAGACAGAGCAAGACCCTGTCTCTAAGAAAAATAGAACAAATCAATAGATACTGATACCAACATTTTAGATAATGAAATTTTCATAACCTAATTTTAAATACGCTCACATCATTACATAAATCTTCCCGGAAATATTCCTAGTCATGTTGAGTTTCATCAACTTTTCCAGTGTTCAAATCTAGAAATCCAATAGACTCTTGAGGATAAATCAAAATGAGGGCAGTGAAACTGGTATCTGTTCAGCACCTGTTAACTCAGGAGGACTCAATACACCCTGGCACACTGCTGCTTCTCCGAATGGCTCACAAGGATTCCAGCTCTCTCTCCATCCTCCTCAAACATCTGACCGCACTTGCCCTAAGTTCACTCTCTGCTCTTAGTCTGTGCTCTGAAGTCTTCCCAGAGGTGAAAGTGAGCTGTCAGATGGAACTTCCCTCTCACCTCAGCGTGGAATTTACTACTACATTTAACTATCACTCTTTCCATAATGGTTGATTTCTTGGTCTGTTCATTACAGACCAAAGGCATCTGATTTGAATCTTTATTTCTTTGCATTTGTCTCCATGACAATTTTGGGAGGTTTTACCACCAGCACTATGACACGATGTAGTAACATGACACATTTGTGGTTAACAACACCTACAAATTCAGAAGCTCTTCGGTTCTCTTCCCAGCAAATATAGCTGCTTCCTTTCTGTGTATGAACACATCCTGGAAACCCGTACACACCCACATAGATATATACATGGCTATGACATTTTCTTCTCTGTAAGTGAAAATTAACCTCAATTTCATACGAAGTTCATCATTTCCCTGAAGGTGAAGGTAGGTCGTTTTTCATCTATTCTAACAAAAGTCTCAGACACCAGCTGGTAAGTGAGGAGCTACCCTGCTTCTGGATGTTGGATCTGTCTCTTCCCCTTTGCTTTACCACAGAAGATTGGCCACTTGTCCAGGTCCCAAGAAGAGAGTCCAGGTTTGTCCTGATAATATGACTCATCCAACTTCTGATAACTCTACTGTTACACACATTCATGGAGGTAGCCTATTAATTACATAATTCACTAAACAAATACCAAATACCCACATTGCAATACCCCATACCCAAGGGTATGTTCATGCATTCAATGAAGGAAAAGGCTTTTCAGAGACAGATAGATCAGGCTAGATTGGTCAATATATGGGTGAAAACACTGGACTTGAATGTATCTGTTTTCCCCCATGTCACATGTGAGACCTGTCAGACAGGACCAGGGTTCCTTGTGCACTCAGAGGTGAGGGCTCACAGAATTCCTCTCTGGTTTCCAGGAAAGGTAACTGCAGTAATCTTGGTAATGAGAATATCCTCCAGTGCTGACCTATTATAGAGTTTACATATGAAATTTTCACTGCAATTCACAATCTACTCTTTCACACAGAAGTGTACAGAGGTCAGGACACATCCTCAGGGTCACACATTGAGAATGATGAAGATATGTCCCACGAGTTTTTCCTAAGGTCTCAGAAAGAATTCCAGGACTCAAAAGGTCTCAGAGGGCAGCTCCCAGTGCCTTAGTTAAAATGGTGGCTCAGGCCTGTAATCCCAGCATTTTGGGAGGCTAAGGCAAGTGGATCACCTGAGGTCGGGACATTGAGACTAGCTTGGCCAACATGGTGAAACCTTATCTCTACTAAAAATATAAAAATTAGACGGGGGTGGTTGTGCGTGCCTGTACTCCCAGCTACTCGGGAGGCTGAGGCAGGAGAATCACTTGAACCCAGGAGGCGGAGGTTGCGGTGAGCCGAGATCGGGACACTGCACTCTAGCCTGGGCAAAGGAGCAAAAGTTCATCTAAAAAATTTATTTTAATTTAAAAATTTTAAAAAAATGGCCCACTCCCTAGAACAGAGAGATTCCCTCTAAACATGATGGAGGTCCCGAACTATACATTAAGTGAATCCTGGTGTGTCTGAACTCACATGATTATTACGTTAAGCTGCTGTTCCAATCTACTTCCTCACCTGGGAAAAGAGGAGCCAGGGCATGGCTAGTTGAGGCCCCAGGAAGAGAACTGAGTTCTCAAAGGGCAAAGCAAGCATCCTCATCCCAGGGCGAGCCTAAAAGACTGGGGCCTCCCTCATCCCTTTTCACCTCTTTATACAAAGGCACCACCTACATGCAAATCCTCACTTAGGCACCCACAGGAAACCACCACACATTTCCTTAAATTCAGGGTCCAGCTCACATGGGAAATACTTTCTGAGAGTCATGGACCTCCTGCACAAGAACATGAAACACCTGTGGTTCTTCCTCCTCCTGGTGGCAGCTCCCAGATGTGAGTGTCTCAAGGCTGCAGACATGGGGGTATGGGAGGTGCCTCTGATCCCAGGGCTCACTGTGGGTCTCTCTGTTCACAGGGGTCCTGTCTCAGGTGCAGCTGCAGGAGTCGGGCCCAGGACTGGTGAAGCCTTCGGGGACCCTGTCCCTCACCTGCGCTGTCTCTGGTGGCTCCATCAGCAGTAGTAACTGGTGGAGTTGGGTCCGCCAGCCCCCAGGGAAGGGGCTGGAGTGGATTGGGGAAATCTATCATAGTGGGAGCACCAACTACAACCCGTCCCTCAAGAGTCGAGTCACCATATCAGTAGACAAGTCCAAGAACCAGTTCTCCCTGAAGCTGAGCTCTGTGACCGCCGCGGACACGGCCGTGTATTACTGTGCGAGAGACACAGTGAGGGGAGGTGAGTGTGAGCCCAGACACAAACCTCCCTGCAGGGAGGCGGAGGGGACCGGCGCAGGTGCTGCTCAGAGCCAGCAGGGGGCGCGCGGGGCCCACAGAGCAAGAGGCCGGGTCTGGAGCAGGTGCAGGGAGGGCGGGGCTTCCTCATCAGCTCAGTGCTCTCCCTCCTCGCCAGGACCTCAGCTGTCCCCAGGCCTCCTCTTTCTTTATTATCTGTGGTTCTGCTTCCTCACATCCTCGCTGCAGGCAAGAAAGAAGGGAGAAATTTCTCTGTTTACCATTAAGGTTTTAACAGTCACTGGCACCTTTTTTTCAACAAATTCCCACAAGGCCCATTTTACCTTCTTGAAAAAATATTTCAAGGCTTCCCACCATCTCTTGATTGGCGTCATCGGCTGCATCGTGTCCTGCTCTTAAATTCATGTGATGAAACCCCAATCCCAGTGGCTCTGTATTTGGAGAGAGGGATTTTAAGAAGGCAAATAAGTTAACTGTGGTCATAAATGTGGGACCCTAATCCAGTAGGACTCTTGTCCTTATGGGAAGTGGAAGACATCAGAGGCCTCTCTCTCCACATGCACACAGAGGAGAGGCCATGTGGGGACGCGCTGCATGAGAAGGTGGCCCTTTGCAAGCCTGGAAGAGGGCTCTCAAAAAACTAACCCTTTCTGCACCCAGATCTTGGACGTCAAGACTCCAGAACAATAAGAAAATTAATATTTGTTATTTGAAACTACCTAGTCTGTGGTATCTTCTGATGGAAAGCCAAGCAGATTCACAGATACAATTGTGTTAGCTCCGTCTCCTGGAGGGAGAAGCAGCCCACCGAGGCTGACACATCTCTCAGATTATTTTTATAAAGAAAAATAGATCCAAGATGAAAACCCCACCACATTTCTGCTGAGTCATTCACTTAGCAGGCTTCTCTGAGATCAGCCCTGGGGGGCTGTGTTCTAGGTCATGTCTCTCACTTTCCACTATGAGAATCCATGTAGATCATGAGAACCAGCCAGATGGAGTCCTGATCCCGGCCCACCTTCTGCTGCTCCCCAAGTATCCCAAAGAAAACCACTCCAGCGTCACCCCTGTGTCTTCTACTCTCTAAAATCCCACTAAAGCTGACCTTAAACCAGGAGATATTTGGGGCCGGGCTCTTGTTCTCTTCTTCTTAGTCTTCCATAAGGTCCAGGTGCCGAGTAAAGCCTCAGTAAAGATTGAGCTTCAGTTCCCCTAACCCACATCATTCCCTTACATCCTTGTCATGCATCTGTCCTCTGTGGGCACTCAGGGCAGGTTACACAGGAATTGCCTGAAGCTGGCCTCAACTGATGTGCTGAGACCACGGGTCATGCACATGTATGATTCCAGGTCATGCAGGCTCTACTGCAGGACAGACCTGTGTCCTGTGGGGCACAGACACCTGCTGACCCCGGGTCTCCTCTAATAACTCACACACCTGGTGTTTGTGTGTGTCCAGATGGCCCCATGAGCACAGCACACTAGGGTGGCCAACCTCACAGGTGGGGCCGTCAGATGGAATGGACAGGCTGGTCACCCCCATCATCAGTGATTTCCCAGTGAATTTTAAATAAATTAAACAAAATTAACAACAAAGGGGAAGGATGTGTACCTGTCTCTGGGAGGTATACAGGGTCCCAGAACTGTGCTGGGAGTGGGTGTGAAATGCCCTTTTGTGTAGAAAGCCCTCCAGCATGAGTGAAAGCTGAAGGAATGATCACTGTGCAGGTGGAGGATGATAGGCAGCTGGCAGGGTACATTTCCTGAAGCTGTTCCTGGGTGCATGATGGTTGGATGGCCCATGGTGATGAGGGCTGGACTCACATAGGAACAAGGAAATTATCCCATGGGAATGGCAGAAAAGAAAACGGAGATGGACACCCCTGGAGACAGCTTATTAGATTTGGTGGAGGAAAAATAGAAATTTATTCCAATGACCCCAGCATTTTCAGCTAAATATGAGTTGCATTAATAGACAGAATTATGAAAGGAAGGGAGAAGGAGTTTATGGAGGGAAAAAAACAGAAGATAAATTAAAATTAAAAACTATGCAAATCTATCAATTGGCAGATAACAGAGTGGAGCTGATGCAGCTACTTCCTTGTTCTGGAAACCTGCCAGAGACACTTAGCATTCCTGTAAGGCCGGTCTAGTGGTGATGAACTTGTCCACTTTTTACTTTTTTGGGAAACTTCTCAAACCTCCTGCATTATTGAAGAAAAGCTTTAATCCATGTAACATATTTATTTGGAAGTTTCTTGGCTTTGTTTTTATTTTCAGCAACTTGAATAGAATCGTGCACATCATGATATTTCGGTGAACAACAGGCCACCTACAGGACAAAGGTCTCATTAGATTATAATACTGTATTTTCACCGCATTTTTCCATGCTTAGATATGTTCATCTGTATAAACATCTACCATGGTGATTCAGCTGCCCACAGTATTCACTACACTTACATGACATACAGATTTGTTACCTAGGAGCACTATGCTATCCCACGCAGCCTGGGTGTAGCAAGGTATTTCATGTAGGTTTGTGTAAACACACTCTATGATCCTTGCACAATGACAAATTGCCTAAGGACACATTGCTCAGATGTATTCCTACTGTTTTTCATTTTTTTTTAGATGGAGTCTCACTCTGTCACCCAGGCTGGAGTGCAGTGGCACAATCTTGGCTCACTGCAACCTCCGCCTCCCAGGCTCAAGCGATTCTCCTGCCTCAGCCTTCCGAGTAGCTGGGATTACAGGCATGAACCACCACGCCCAGCTAATTCTTTTTTTCTATTTTTTAGTAGAGATGGGATTTCACCATGTTGCCCTGGCTGGTCTTGAACTCGTGACCTACATGATCCACCCACTTTGCCCTCCCAAAGTGCTGGGATTACAAGCGTGAGCCACTGCGCCTGGCCAGTGTATCCCTACTGTTAAGCCACAAATCATCGTATCTCATCTCTCTCCCTTTTTTGTCCCTGTTAATATTTTCATGTTGTGCGTGCATTCTTCTCCTAGCTCAGTGAACATATTTATAAGGTTTACTTTGAATTTTCTGCTAGGTAATCAATGTATCTCCTTTTAATTTGTGTCAGTTTCTAGTGCTTTTTTTGTTAAATAATTTGGACCACTTTTTTCTGTTTTGTGATTATTGTTATTATTATTATTTTTTACTTTCTCTGTTGCTTTCTCCTCATTAGAAGAAAAAGCTACCGTAATCACTCTTCACAGAATATGCCCAGGGAAAATGCCATCACCTATCAACCCAGGCTGTCATTGTGGCATCTCTTAAAACTTCATAATGGTTGAAATTTTTTGTTGTTGTTGTTATTAGTGGCACTCAGACCTACAGAGGATTTTAAGTTTTGCTCCTACTCTAAATTAGGTGGCATTGAAATTCATCCTGCAGGCAGTCTCTGATAAAGTGGAGGAATTGGGCAGTTTTGTTATGCATATGGTTCATAAAAATAATATGAGTTTAAGGTTTTCTCAGCCAAGTGCTATATCCTGATATTTTATAATCACTTCTTTGAATCTCTCTTGGGTTTATCTTTTGAAAATTTAGATCAGAATATAAACCAGGTTTGAGGCTTTTTGTTTGGTGTAAACATCTCCTATAGGTCATTGCGTGAAAAGGCACAGAGTCTATCTGAGGAGGAGAACTCAGGGAAGCCTCACAACAACAGGGGAGACAAAACCGAGGTCACTAAAAAAATATGAAGCTTCTGGCTCCTGCAGCCTCCAGACATGCCCCACACCCTCTCATTGCACACAAATGAATTCCTTTCTCTTTCCTGAGTGATCTTTGCCAAGATTCCTCTCCTCCACTTTGACACTTTGGTATATCCATGTGTGTCCATTCTGGTTCAGCCAGGGACACAGAACCAGGAAGACATCATGGCTTTTCTAGAGGGAGCTGGCTTGGGGAATCAATGGTTGGAGTAGAAAGTGTCTTTGTCCATGTGTCACAGCCCTGAGGGACACGGGAAGAAGGTCAGGAAGACAGGATGACCAGACGGCTGGAGCAACCAGTATGAACAAAGCCACTTTCTTTCCTGGTGAAGAGGGGCATTTGGAAGCCTGGTGTCCCTGTAGGGGATGAACCACACTCACCTGCCCACTGTTACTTGCCAACGAGGTGACCCGCAGAGCAGCAGATCCTGAGTCACCGACAGTGGCTGCTTCCTCCTCCAAACCCTCCAAGATCTGTCCTTCCAGGAGTGTGAACCTCAGCAGATCCGCACGTTTTCAATGGGTCCACTTAGCTAGTGTCTGTCCTCAGCCCCATCCCTGGGATCCTGTCCTGGTGCTGTGTACACTGTCACAATAGTGGTGACAGTGACAGCTGGTGCCTGCACTTTCCAGGCCAAGAAGTTTGAAAGAAGCAAGTCACAGGGCCAGCCTGGATTTGGGGCAAACACACAAATTTCACTCTGTGGGGAAGTGCTGGGAAGCAGCCTTGAGTCCTCCTCAGCTCACGTGTGGCTGCTGCTTCTCATCCCAGGTGGGACACATGAGCCCTCCCCATGCCCAGGATGGAGCTGTTTCAGTCACAGCAGGATGGGAATGTGTCTTCTCTATGGGGGCTTTTGAAGCACAGCTCTCCTGTTCCTGAGATTTGAGATTTATAAAGACAAGTCCCACAGAGTGAACCTGCACAAATAAGACAGTACAGGATCCCCAGGAGAGACATCCCATATGAGAAGGGACAGGCAGGTCCCATCACTGACGCTGGTCCTCAGAAACCCTGACCAGCTACTGACCTTCCCAGGTCCCCTGTTCCTGGAACAGTTCGTGTGTCTGCTCCTGAAAAGATGCCCATCAAGAGTCCCCAGGGTTCTGCCCCCTTCCTTGATGTGCCTCTGGGAGTGGGGCTGGCTGGGCTGTGGGTCTGGCGTGACCCTCTCCACAGGTCAGCGGCTCAGTGCAGGCTGCACCGACTCGGTGGGGCTGGGCTGTGGCTGACCCTCCCAGGGGGAGCCTGGACTCTTCTTAGGGGTATCTGCAGGATCCCAGGTTCTGGGAGAACAGGGAAGCCACAGTGTGTGCAGGGCCCCATCTCCAGTAAAGTGTTTGCTGTCGCTCTGTTGACAAGGGCATATCCCCAGGCCTAGGGGCACTGTGGGCGCACGACCAATGCGCGAGACACAGGGAGTAAGGCACAGTTCCCTCCCATTACTGTGAGGACACTAGACACAGTGTGTGTGTGTGTGTGTGTGTGTGTGTGTGTCCATTACTGTGGGGACTCTAACCACCGTGTGTGTGTGTGTGTGTGTGTGTGTGTGTGTGTGTGTATTAGGAGTTTTGCAGTGGCTTCTGAGACCCATGATTTTGTAGGTTTAGAAATTATCTGATGAGATGTTCATCCACAGGAACCGACAAGAGATTAGGTGTTCTCCCAAAGCCCCTGGAAGCTCCTGGACTCACTGTGAGTGTGGACTGATCCAGTGCTTCCGGAGCGCCACAGAAGGGGCTCCCTGGTGGTTTCATAGAATCCTTGCTTGGGGTGTTTCTGCAGAGTTCACTGGCTTTTTCCTACGACCAATTTACTATTGCAAGCGATGGCGTCAGCAGCACATGGTGTCACGTGTCACTAAAGGAGCATTCTGAGCCAGGACACAGCCACTTCATACTGGGGGGAAAATGCTCTGGGAGCCCAGACAGGAGCCTCTCTGCAGTGCAAGGGCTGGGCTGCAGGGGGCGCTCAAGGCCCACCCAGCACAGGCTCCAGCCCCAGAGCAGGTGCACAGGAGGCTGCGGATGGAGTCCCCTTAAGATCTGTGTCATTCTTCTAAAAAAATCTAAAATAAGTATTTGACAAAAACTGCTGAAGAGTCCATAAATATCCTATTCAATTGCAAGAATTTATCAATTTACACTGGAGATTTCTAACCCTGCTACATATCTTAATAGTAAGCATCTGGAGGTCAATTAAGCTTTTATTTTATATAAATAAGTGCAACTTTTGGAGAAACACACTCATCCCCCAAATAACACATTCATGTATTAAAGCCTAGAAATACTTTAAATTACCTCTGAGCTATTCAAGTGTGGGTTCCCAGTGAAGTCCTGTTCTAGGGAAAATTGTTCTCCAGTGGGAGAAGCTCTGTCAACATACAGCTTAGGGATATGGCAGGGCACACATGGCCTCTAAGGGGATTATAGCTTGAACCCTTAGCATCCTCCTGTTGGGTAATCCATGTGTCATCTCTCCACTCTTTCTCATGCTGTGTTAGGTATGAAATAGCATCGCTCATGAATATGCAAATAACTGAGATGACTATAGATATCTTTGTGCCCTGAGAGCATCACCCAACAACCACATCCCTCCTCAGAAGCCCCCAGAGCACAACGCCTCACCATGGACTGGACCTGGAGGATCCTCTTTTTGGTGGCAGCAGCCACAGGTAAGGGGCTGCCAAATCCCAGTGAGGAGGAAGGGATCGAGGCCAGTCAAGGGGAATTCCATCCACTCCTGTGTCTTCTCTACAGGTGCCCACTCCCAGGTCCAGCTTGTGCAGTCTGGGGCTGAGGTGAAGAAGCCTGGGGCCTCAGTGAAGGTTTCCTGCAAGGCTTCTGGATACACCTTCACTAGCTATGCTATGCATTGGGTGCGCCAGGCCCCCGGACAAAGGCTTGAGTGGATGGGATGGATCAACGCTGGCAATGGTAACACAAAATATTCACAGAAGTTCCAGGGCAGAGTCACCATTACCAGGGACACATCCGCGAGCACAGCCTACATGGAGCTGAGCAGCCTGAGATCTGAAGACACGGCTGTGTATTACTGTGCGAGAGACACAGTGTGAAAACCCACATCCTGAGAGTGTCAGAAACCCCAGGGGGGAAGCAGCTGTGCTGGCATGGAGGAAATGACAAAGATTATTAGATTGAAGACTTTCTCAGAAAATGATATTAAGTCATTAAGGAAAAGGAACAATATAAACATGTATTTGAGAAATTTTAATTATTTGAGAGATTTTTCATACAATATTTATTCTGCAAGCAAATTTCAGGGATTGAATTAATAAAACTGATACAGAACTTCCTCTGTAGGTATCTGTGTAAACATCAATTTCTGAATCAGTGTTGTAAATATTTTGGAACACACACACAAATCACATTTTATCTCTACTTTTATCTCTATTATTAAAAATGCCAAAAAAACTCATTTTGTGCATGTAGCATTTTGAATTCCCACCATCAATGCATGATAGTTCTTGGTTTTCCACATTCATATTGCCATTTATCATTATGAGAATTGTGTGTTTTAACCATTCTAATAGGTGAGTAATGGTATCTAATTTTTAGTTAAATGCACATTTCCGTAATAAAAATTCACATTTAACAATTTTCATATAATTTTTGCCGAGATGCCTCTTCTCATATTTGGTTCATTTTTAACTGCATTGTTTTCTTTTGATTAGTTGTAAGTTTACTTGCATATTGATTATAAAATCATTTAACAAATTAAAAGAATTCATTTAACAAATATGTGACTTGGAAGTATTTTCTCCAAGTCTGCGGCTGTCTTTTACTCCCTTATCAGTATGTATTGCAGAAAAGTGTGTGTGTGTGTGTGTGTGTGTTTATACAAATTTAGATTTTAAAAATGTAAAATGTTATTCATCCACAGATCATGTCTTTGGTATTATATCTGAAATCTCATTATAAAATACAGTAATATCAATTACTTTTTCCATGTCTCTAATCTCAGGCTACAATCATCTCATGAGTGTTTAAGCTTCACCTACTTGATTGGAGGACTATCAACCTAACATATTTGGAATACTTCTGTAAAAAGATGTGTTCCTCTTCCTATTATTTCTTTATTTGATCACTTATTAATATGTGTATTGGTTTATGGATGTCTATTTCATACTCTGAAGAAGATCCATGCTACATTATTCATTTTATTTTTCAAACCACCATGGCTTTATTATGTGCTGGGAGCTCATTGAGTTTGGATCCTGCATCCTTACAGCTCACCTCATGCTTTTGTTTTTGAACACTTCCCTGTTTCCTGCTATTATAATAAATTCTAAACTCATTTTCTATATTATCTTTTTCATACATAGAATCAGCCATTTTTCTAAAGATTGCTTGCTTCTGATGTTAAAGAATAGTATTTAAAAAATTGTAATACTGGGTATGTGCATTGTTAATGTGGTATAAGTACTTGCAGGACCTCTCAACCAACTGGCCTAGTAAACTATGTATCTAACCTTCTGTAATGTGATTACATTAAAAATGAGAACACACTGGTCTCTCTACCCAATTATGCTACCACATGGATCTTTCTAGCCTTCCTTCCTTGACTGTCTATAACCTCTCACTGCAAAATGAGGAACCCCATCCAACCATATGCCATTTTATTACTTAGCTGCACAATTTCAGGACACATGCATAGCAGTATCAGAAATGTAAAGCTGTACCCTTGTAGGAAACATGTTTATCTACTAGAATAGAGTGCTTATGTTCAGTTTCTTTACACTTTAAACTTACAGAGTTTCCTCATTTTCAAAGTTCCTTAGGTCAGCAACTTCATTTTCCACTTTCTTCAGTGAAGTCATTTCAATGACACTGTATAATTTGATTTATTTGAAATTCTATAAAAGCCAAAACTGTAGTCAAGTAAACAACAACATATAGAGGATATTCGAGGAGTTTAGAGACTGGGTATAAAATAAGTTAAAAAGACACTGTTTAAGAAGATTAAAATTATTTTTAGTGATATGCAATGGTTCAGATATGACACAATTAATTTGTCTAAGCACATAGTTTTGTGATGGAAAATATAAACCTAAATATATACAATTAAAAAAAATTTAGCAGTTCATTAACCCAAGGATCAAATGCAGATTGTATAAAATTATCTCATTACTTATTTTGTGAGGGTGGAGATTTCATGAGATGTATGCAACAAAGAATGAGGTAATTTTCCTGATTTGCATATAAGATGTTGCCATTCACTAAAGACCTTTAATTTTTTAAATTTTTTTTTAAATCAATTTTCTATGTGACCCAGGTTTTTTCCTCTTGACAAGCAAATAACCGACAGGATTATTTTCTTTCCTTGGTTGAGAAATATTTCCCCAAACTTCAGCTCAGTTCAGGCATACACTGTCCCTGAATGGGCATTTACCCTCAGATGGGTACACACATCTGTCAACATGTGGACTCTTCTGTCAGACAAACGCACCTTTACTCACGTGGATTCTTCTCTCAGACAAACACACATGTCCCCACGTGGACTCTTTCCTCAGACTACCACATATGTTCTTACATTTACTCTTTCCTCAGAAAACAGACATTTCCTCATGTGGACTCTTGTCTCAGACAAGCAAACATGTCTCCATGTGAACTCTTCACTCACATAAGTACACATATGTCCACATTTACTGTTTCCTTACACAAGTACATATATCCAATGTCGAATTGTTCTGTGGCAAAATGATCTCAAGATAATGATAATCATAAACCCCCTCCCTGACAAGGCGTAGATCTGTATTTTTTTCATTGTAACCTAACTTTGCCTTATTGTCAAGAACAGTAGTTTGCAGCTCTAAATATACCAATTAGAGACAGGTGTCCATTTTCTCTGGAAACGTATTTTTATGTTCTTACTGGACATATTTGTTGATAATGTTTGCTATTATGAAGATACCCCAACAGTGTCCACATTAGAGAATAAAAAAGAGTAATGGGCAGATTAACTCTGTGCATCCAGACCCAGAAATCCTTTGACCTTGACTTCCCTGAAATGTAGACACAGAGGATGGATGAGCAATGCTGAGCAGTGCACCCATGACCACAAAAAGAAAGACGTGGAAATGTGTCCCCTCCACTTCTCATGAAAGGCAGCTCATCCCCTGTTCCCTCAGGCCCTGGCGAGGAGCCACCCCATGTCTGTGCCCTTCCTCAGTGTCCACACCGTGGGGTCTGCATTGATCTGGATTCCCTTCTCATCCCCGTCAATATTAGTGTCCTTCGTAAATCAGGTCCAGCTGTGGCTTCTCCTCACGGGGCTGTTCTCAGTCTGTTTTCTGTGTTCACGGAAGTCCTGTGTGAAGTTTACTGATGGAGTCAGAGGGGGAAAAATTTTACAGCCCAGTGGTGAGACTCTCCTGCAAAGCCTCTGGTTTCACCTTTACTGGTTACAGCATGAGCTTGGTCCAGCATGCTTCACAACAGGGATAGGTGTGGGTGCCAACAGTGAGTGATCAAGTATGAATTCTCAGGGTTACTCTCCATGAGTACAAATAAATTAACAATCTCAAGCAACACCCTTTTAAGTGCAGTCTGCCTTACAATGACCAATCTGAAAGCCAAGGACAAGGTCATGTATTACTGTGAGTGACACAGTGAGGGAAACCCTGTGTGAGCCCAGACACAAAGCTCACCGCAGGGAGACAGGAGGGGACTATGTGGTAGATGCTGCTCAGAACCACCAGGGGGCACTCAGAACCATCAGGGAGGGTGCACAGAACCACCAGGAGGGGCTCAGGACACCAGGGGGCGCTCAGAACCACCAGGGGGCACTCAGGACCATCAGGGAGGGTGCACAGAACCACCAGGAGGGGCTCAGGACACCAGGGGGCGCTCAGAACCACCAGGGGGCACTCAGGACCATCAGGGAGGGTGCACAGAACCACCAGGAGGGGCTCAGGACACCAGGGGGCGCTCAGAACCACCAGGGGGCACTCAGGACCATCAGGGAGGGTGCACAGAACCACCAGGAGGGGCTCAGGACACCAGGGGGCGCTCAGAACCACCAGGGGGCACTCAGGACCATCAGGGAGGGTGCACAGAACCACCAGGAGGGGCTCAGGACACCAGGGGGCGCTCAGAACCACCAGGGGGCACTCAGGACCATCAGGGAGGGTGCACAGAACCACCAGGAGGGGCTCAGGACACCAGGGGGTGCTCAGAACACTAGGAGGTGCTATGAATCACTAGGGGGCGCTCAGGACTCAAGGGAGCACTCAGAACCACCAGGGATAGCTCAGGACACCAGGGGGCACTCAGAACCGCCAGGGGGCACTCAGGACCATCAGGGAGGGTGCACAGAACCACCAGGAGGGGCTCAGGACACCAGGGGGCGCTCAGAACCACCAGGGGGCACTCAGGACCATCAGGGAGGGTGCACAGAACCACCAGGAGGGGCTCAGGACACCAGGGGGTGCTCAGAACACTAGGAGGTGCTATGAATCACTAGGGGGCGCTCAGGACTCAAGGGAGCACTCAGAACCACCAGGGATAGCTCAGGACACCAGGGGGCACTCAGGACCATCAGGGAGGGTGCACAGAACCACCAGGAGGGGCTCAGGACACCAGGGGGCGCTCAGAACCACCAGGGGGCACTCAGGACCATCAGGGAGGGTGCACAGAACCACCAGGAGGCACTCAGGACACCAGGGGGTGCTCAGAACCACCAGGAGGTGCTCAGGACACCAGGGGGCGCTCAGAACACTAGGAGGTGCTATGAATCACTAGGGGGCGCTCAGGACACAAGGGAGCACTCAGAACCACCAGGGATAGCTCAGGATACCAGGGGGCACTCGGAACCGCCAGGGGGCGCTCAGGACACTAGGGGGCGCTCAGAACCACCAGGGGGTGCTCAGGACACCAGGAGGCACTCAGAACCGCCAGGGGGCGCTCAGGACACTAGGGGGCGCTCAGAACCGCCAGGGGGCGCTCAGAAGAAGCAGGGGGTGCTCAGAACACCAGAGGGTGCTCAGAAGCACCAGGGGGCGCTCAGGACACCAAGGGGCACTCATGAGACTGTGGCAAGGGGGTGCTGAGAACCACAGGATGTGACCAAGACACCAGGGGGCACTCAGAACTGCCAGGGGGTGCTCAGGACACCAGAGGATTCTCAGAACCACCAGGGGATGCTCAGGAAACTAGCGGGTGCTCAGAACCACCGGAGGACACTCAGAAAACCAGGGGATGCTCAGGAACCACCAGGGGGCGCTCACGACACCAGCGGGCAGTCAGAACCACCAGGGCATGCTCAGAACCACCAGGGGGCGCTCAGGACACCAGGGGATGCTCAGGACACTAGGGGCGCTCAGGAACCACCAGGGGGCGCTCACGACACCAGTGGGCAGTCAGAACCACCAGGGCATGCTCAGGACCACCAGGGGGCGCTCAGGACACCAGGGGATGCTCAGGACACCAGGGGTCGCTCAGGAACCACCAGGGGATGCTCAGGACACTAGGGGGCGCTCAGGAACCACCAGGGGTCACCCAGGACACCAGGGGTCGCTCAGGAAACCAGAGGGTGCCCAGGAAACCAGGGGAGGTTCAGGAACCACCAGGGGGCACTGAGGACACCAAGGGGTGCTCAGAACCACCAGGGGGCGCTCAGGACACTAGTAGGCACTGAGGAACCACCAGGGGGGGCTCAGGACACCAGAGGTCGCTCAGAAAACCAGGGGGTGCTCAGAACCACCAGGGGGCACTCAGGAACCACCAGTGGGTGTTCAGGACAGCAAGAATGGCTCAGGACACCAGGGAGCACTCAGGACCTCCAAGGGGCTCTTTGGAGGCAGCTCCATATCAGGTACCTGGGGAGGATGAGGTTTCCTTTTCCACCTTGGTGATTCCTGACCTGGTCAAGCAAAAGTCTTCCCCAGGATCTCTTACGATGTCTTCCTTGTAACTCATGGTTTCTTTCACCTATAAAACATTAACTTAGAACAGGGGTTCAATTCAACTTTTAACTCTGCCTATTTTCAGAGTTATACTAGCAATGATATATCTCAGTATATTTTTTTTAATTGTGTATATTCAATCCAAAGTCTGGCTCTATGCACAATTTTTTTGTTTTCTGTGCTGTCAGACACACTATTGTAAATGCTTTTCTAACAACTCAGCATATGCATGGGGTCCAGTTTCTTTTCCTTTCATCGGCTGTTTGTGCAGATGAAACACCACTTTAAGGGCTCCTGTCCTCCACTTTGGCCCCTGGTGTTCTGCTTCTCAAACTTTCTCCATCTTCTCTTTTTCTGTCAAAATATTTTATCTTCCTCAGTCTCCATGCAGGAAACAGGAAGTCCTTTTACTTCCTGTCCTCCATGTCTGGTAAATCAGTTCACTTCTTTTCATGATCACTGAAGCCAACCAAGTTTAGGAGAGTAACAGTTCTCCTTAGAATACACTCTACCTGCAGACCCTCTGCCCTCATCACACTTTTCTAGGGTCCTGCAGACATAACCCCCACCCATTCCTCTTTTTCCCTAAGTACCACAGACTAGGCTCTGCAACTTATGCTACCCTCTGTGTGCTCAGCCCAGGGGCTCAGTAGTGCTTTCATGAAGTCCAAATCCCTAATGTGTTTGCCCAGTCTCAGACCACCCTCCAGCAAGCTGCCATTGTGATTGAATCCTGCAAAGCATGGGCTGCTTTCAGTTTCCTATTGCTGGATGTTCTTTATTATAAAGGCATATTGGCAAATAACGACTAGAGTTTGTATTGAAAATTAACGCCAAAAAGTTTTTTAAAAAATTTTTCAAATAGAAAAGTTCTATCCTGCCTAGTTTAAAAAAATACAATGTTACTTTAATCAATGATTTAATAAAAATTTAAGTGATGTTTGTCTTATTAGTTATTCAATTTATTAATAACTGACTGATATTTAAAAAGTAAATACTGGCTGGGCGCAGTGGCTCACGCCTGTAATCTCAGCACTTTGGGAGGGTGAGGTGGGTGGATCACCTGAGGTCGGGAATTCGAGACCAGCCTGACCAACATGGAGAAACCCCCTCTCTACTAAAAATACAAAATTAGCTGGGCGTGGCGGGGAAGCTGAGGCAGGAGAATCGCTTGAACCTGGGAGGCGGAGGTTGCGGTGAGCCGAGAACACGCCATTGCACTCCAGCCTGGGCGACAAGACCAAAACTCTGTCTCAAAAAAAAAAAAAAGTAAATACCATTGTACACTTAAGTAATATATTTGGCAAGAATGGCATTTACATTCATTCAAAAATGAAACTGCAAATACGAGTTACATTCAATTAAATAATTAAAATAATATAGAAAAAAATGGGTGTGTTGTTTTGGTGTTTAATATACATTCATTTTTGCATGGACGGGTATATGTGTCATTGCTGGGCTGTTGTGTATGTGTGCGTGTGTGTGTGTGTCTGTGTGTACAACTATGAAGTTTAAAATATATTATTAAATTACGTAGTTATATTAATCCAAATTTATCATGTTAAAATATTAGGAAAAAAACACCAGTAGAGAAATTACAGAGAACATCAGCAATGCCTACAGCATTTACAAGAGTCACATTAATAACAAACAAACTAGTTCAAATGTTTAGATATGACACATGCAGTAGAAAACGTTCACATGGTATTAACACAAAAATGGTGCACAACTGAGGAAATTATAATACGTTCATGATATTGGCTACATAAATGCTTATGATAGTAATGCTTTTCATCCATCAAATGCTTATGATAATGCTTTTCATCCATCATATTATAGATGATAAAACAACTCTATAAACACTTCCATCACTAGCGTTTAATATGAGATGCCTCACATCTTTTTCTGAAATAAATAAACATCTGTCCACCACTTCGATGATCATTTCAGGATTATCCTCTGAAATAATTATCCATAATAATTTTAGTAACAATTTTATTATTTTCAGAAGCCTATTTTATAAGGTCTTTGAACTATTATTTTTATGATTGTTACTTTATATTTTACACACTTTTTATTTGGAATAATTATAGGTTATCAGAACAATTGTAAGGAAAATACAGTGTGTTCACATCCATCTCCAAGTTTTCACTAAAGTTAATATGTCAAAAAAAACATGGGACATGGGACTAATATATTTACATTGATAAGTTTCTGTTTATTCAGCTCTGGGATTTATTTGAATTTTGCCAATTTTTAACAGTTTCCTTTTTTCCTTTTTCTTTTCTTTTTGAGATAAGGTCTCACTTTCCTATTGCTTTTTGTTTGTTTCTTTGTTCAACCCAGGTAACCACATCAAATTCAGTCACCATGTTCCTCTCATATCTTCTGGTTAATCACAGTTTGGGTTCCTGCTGTCTTCCCATTGAATATTCTATAAATGAAACTAGTCAAATAAGTTGATTCTGGTCACTTATATATTTACCTATTTTATCACGTTTGTTTTGTCAATCACAGTAAGTGTCGAATTCGCTATCTGTTATAGATGTTAGCCTATTTTCTATCCCAGATCCATTGGTTAAATCTTTGGTGATGCCTTTTAGAAAACTGATCCCTTTACCCTATGTAATATGCCCCTTGATTCCTGAAAGTCTTATGTCTACCTTGTCTGAATTTAACATAGCTAAGCACGCTTTCTTTTCATTCATATTTTCATAGTCCATGTTTTCCTGTATTTAACTTTTCTATGTAGAGCAAATTTCTGTACAGAGCTAGTAGTTGGGTCTTGCTTTTTAAATCAACTATAATAAATTCTATTTTAAAACTGGTATTACTATTTTTCTGTTAATTTCTATTTTAATTTGGCATTTTATGATCATGTTTATTTCTCTATTAACTTATTGTTTAGCTCATCTTTTATGAATATTGTATTGGCCCTAAGATATACAATAAGAATTGTGTATAATCAGATTCTAATTCAAATAACGTAAAACCTCTTCATAGGTTGTAGAGCTATTATAACTTATTCTTCTAAACCCTCTTTCTCATCCGTTGTCTTAGTTTATTCTCAGTTTGCACTTATATGTGCTATAAAATATAATATGTGCATTTTTATCATTACATAGACATATATTAGAACAATTAAAAATATAAAAACTACATTTCAACTTCATTTTTTCATTCTTGACCACATTTTTTATTTGGATAGATTCATGTTTCGGATGTATATCATATGGCTACTCACCCTGGCGGAAAATTTGCCAAAGCACCTACTGAAGGATGAATGCACTAGCAATAAATTTTCTCAGAATCGATTTGTCTTACAGGGTATTCATTTGACTTTCGCTTTAAATGAAATTTTTAATATATATAGAATTCCAGTTTGACTTTAATTTGTAATTTATTTTCTTGTACTCATGTATTCATTATTTTCTTCCTGAAGATGGTAACACATTCCATTCTGCTGGGCCTTCATTATAGATATTTGTGTGTATCTATTCAGGGCTATATTTGCAATTTATGGATGCCACAATTATCAGAGTTGAAGTCAGCTTCTGCTGTCCACAGAGATTTCAAGTTCCTCCCATGATACTTGCTTTTGTGTCCCTGTTTGATCCTGGGTCTTTATATTTAGTTTTCCCCAGGGAGGCTGTCTGTTTCAGCTGTGGAAAGTGCACCCTACTGACAGTTTAAATTGATGACTGTGTGGTGAAGGAGGTTGGACAAAGCGGGACTTCCTCCAACCTTCTGACTGAGTCTCCTTCTTATGCAGGAGTAGTAAGCATAGTTCTGGGGAGTGGCCTTCCACATTGTCCTGTCCTTAACTCTTTCCCCAGGGCTGGAACGTCTTTTCCCAGACACAACTGTTTTTCACCAGTGTCCCCAGCTTTTTACCCACTATCCTTACCCTAAAGAGTAAGGATTTCTTTCCTGAGGAAAGAGATAGGAGGTGTTTCTGGATCAAGTTTCCTTGGTGTCGTCTGTTTCCTTTTGTTTCTGTTGACTTCACCACAGCTCATATGACACATGCTTTGGTGGATTTCCCCTGGAGGTAGTGGAGGTGCATTCAGGCATTCCACAGGAGCTGCTGTTCTTTTCCCCAGTCAACACCACAAGACACCAGATGAGGAAGTTGTCCGTGGATTTTTCAAGTTCTCTAGGAAAAGCTTGCAAGCACTAGGCCAATCTAACACCATTAGTACATGCATACTAAAAAAAAAAAAGTCATTAAGTATTTCTAGGTTAGTCTGTTTCTATCTCAAATGCCATCCAGTGGCACCTGCCCTATGTACACTAGCAGGTAGGTCCTGGTTCTCTCTGCAGGCTCCTATCTTCTCAGATTTCAGTTTTCTTGTTTGCTTGGTGAAATCAACTCAGATATGTTGAATGTTTTTTCTCTCTTTTATTTGTAGCTGTTCAGCTTCGTTGTTAATGAGGTCAGAATAAAATCACAGTTTTCTCATTTTTTTCACATTCCCACACTGAATAGCTGCTTTCCGTATAAAAGCCAGAAACTGAGAGAACACATTGAATATCCATTACAGGTGAATGTTAAACAATTTGAGATATGTTTGTGTACTGGAATAAAATGCTGCATTACAATCAAGTCATCACTCATTCACATAAAACATGGCCACATTCTCAAATAATGTAGGGACCTGAGTGCCCCTCCATCTACTGGCCTCTCCTGGGGCCCTAGCCTGGCCACACCTTCTTGCAGGGCAGTCTTGGACGCCCTGGGATCCCGCACCAAAATTTCTGCCCTGGCAGAACATGCCTGACTGGTGGAGAGCTCCAATCGGGCAGCCCTCATGTGCACACACCAGCTTACACACTTCCTCCGAATACTGTAGGTTCACCCAGGCCCACGTAACTTCCCACATCACTTTGCAGTCACATGTCTGTATAGGTGGGTTTTGCTTTTCTTGTCCCACCATTGCGTGGAGTGCAGTCCCCTCCCCCCACCCCAACCACCATGGCAGAGGAAGCTTTGGTGGGGAAAAAGCCAGGGCCGCTCCTGTCAGCGTCCCGCACTTGCGCTAATTCTGCACAGAGAATAGCAGATCATCTCACACATTCAGAAATCACTCCTGCTTGTGGGGCATGAATACGGCACCCGGGCCTGTGCCCACAAGTGTCCCATCCCTGAGCCAACACCTCCTCCAGTGTGACCTTGAACACAGTCACCAACAGGGCCCCACACACCCACAGACGCAATGCCTCTGCCACTGTGGCGAACACCTGCAGGGAGGCAGGCACCCAGACACCCACTAGCACTCTGCCACAGCTGCCACACCTCCAACAGCCCAGGACAGTGGATTCCTAACCTTAAGGAGCCGGAGAACCAAGTCAGGGACTAGTATAACTTCCCCCAGAGTCAGAGCACACAGTCTAGGTGTTGGGAGCTGAGCACTGGCCACCTAAATTTTTCCAGAAATGAAGCCAGTTGGCTGAATCCACCTTATACCACAATCAAACCCTCAAGGTCATCCAATAGGGTAAAAGAAAATAAAAATGTATCCAAAGGTCAGCAACTTCAAAGATTGAAGGTGGATAAGCCCACAAAGATGAGAAAGAACCAGTGCAAAAGTCCTGAAAACAAAAAGGGCGCCCTCTTTCCTCCAAACAACCACAGCACCTCTTCAACAGCAGTTCTGAATGGGGCTGAGATGGCTGAAATGACAGAAACAGAACTCAGAATATGGAGAGTGAAAATGTAGATGAATACAGCTATTTATGGAGAATACTATAAATGTTCCTCAAAAAATAAAGAAACAAAATCTACTGTAGAATCCAGCAGTCTCACTGCTGGCTATGTATCCAAAGGAAATGAAATCAACATGTCAAAGAGATATCTGCACTCCATGTTCACGTTCATTGCAGCATTATTTAAAATAGTAAAGATATGGAAACATCCTAAATTCCCATGAATGGATGAATGAATAAAGAAAATGCATACAGACACAACAGAGTAATGTTCATCCTTAAATAAGAAGGAAACCCTGCCTCTGTGACAGCATGCATGAATCTAGAGGACCTTATGCCAAGTGAAACAAGCCAGGAACAGAGGAAGAGTCATTCATGATTTCACTGTATATATTAAAGCAGTAGACTTGCAGAGGTAGAGTAGAATGTTGGTTACCAGGGCCTAGAGGGGTGGACTGGGAAAGGGAGATGTGGGTTAAAGTGCACAACGTTCCAGTTAGACAGGAGGTATAAGTTATGCCTTTCTAATGCACAGCATGTCAACTATAGCTGATAAGGTAGTATATATTTCAAAATTACTAAAAAAATAAACATTAGAATTTCCCCACTAAGAAATGATAAATTTGTGAGGTGATGAATATAAGCGGCTTGAGTTACCCAGTTCATAATGTATACATGTATCATAACTAAACAACATATGTCATAAATATATGCAAAAATTATTTGTAATTTATAATAAAATAAGTTTCATATTTAAATAATTACATTAAGAAAATGAACAGAAACTTTCAGATTTCAAGAATATTTTATATATATATATATATATCTTAAAACAAACTTGCAACAGAATATAGAAATAAGTTTTACGACTCAATGGAAAAGAACAGAATTCAATAAAAACTGGCTAAAAGAAACAACAGCTGCATCATTATAGAAAATTCTGGAATAATCAGCCATATAAAGATTCTCACTCTCTTAGAACTAGAATTCCGTAGGACTTGTAATTCCTCCTGACCTGGGTGGGAGGCAAAAGGAAGAACAGCTAATGGTGATTCAGTGAGTTTTATACCTGTGTGTACTTCTGGGCTCACTCAGCAGAAAGAAAAGAAGAAAAGAAAGAAAGAGAGAAAGAAAGAAACAGAAAGAAAGAAAGAAAGAAAGAAAGAAAGAAAGAAAGAAAGAAAGAAAGAAAGAGAAAGAAAGAAGAAGGAAGAAGGAAGGAAAGAAAAGAAAGAAAGAAAGAGAGAGAGGGAGAGAGGGAAGGAAGGGACAGCAGAAGTCATTGTGGTGTGTGTGAAAACACAATCCTTGGGCTCCCCCACATCCATCTCTACTCCAGTCCCATCAATGTCCAGCAAATACATTTTCTAAGATGAAGTATTTTAAACTTTCTAAATCCTGCTAGAAAACCCCTCAGCTCTTTCAGTTTTGCTCTATCACTTGAATTATTGAATTAAATCTAGTTTTTGTGGGCCTATCAATACCATAAGCCAAAATAACACATGAAGAAATTGCACTGAGACACATGAAAACCTTCTGAAAGCTCCATAATTTCAGATCTGCATTCTTATTTCCCCGAACCTAAATCACTGAATAGAGACTCAGAACGAGTTGATCTTGTTCCTGAACGTGCACAGAGCCAAGGACATCCTGTCTGTCTGGAACAGCTCAGGTTTGTTCCTGTTTCTCCTAGAGGATATAAAATCTTGAGTTAGGGAAAAACAGCCAGGGACACCCTGGGCTTTGTTCTTCTCTCCCCTGGAGGCAGGATGTCCTTCAGAGCTTTGTCCCAGTGGGTAACACAGCTGCTGAGGTGTACAACCCACGTGGCCTCGTTTTGGTCACTTTTGCATGGTGAGCCTGCTTTGCACCATGGCCTACAATATGCGTGTGTAACTAATCTGTCTCCATCTTCAAAATGACATTATTCCACATCAAATCTAGTGCAGGTGCCTCACACAGAACATTCTCAATTACCTCCATCATTCATAAAATTGATGCCATTAATTTCAAGTATACATACATCAGACTCATTTAACGTATTGTTATTCTCATTGTTTGAAACATAACTTTTAGATCAAATAATTAACAATAATAAAAATATAAATTTTGAAGTCAGGTAATGTGATTTCTCTAGTTGTGTTCTCTTTGCTCAGAATGGCTTGGGCTGTTCTGCATCTTTTGTTTTTCCACATATATTTTAGGATTTTTTAAAAATTTCTGTGAAGAATATCATTGTTGTTTTCATAGGGATTGTACTGAGTCTGTAGATTGCTTTAAGTATTATGGACATTTTAACAATATTGAATCTTTGAATTCATAAACATGGAATATTGTTCCATCTTGTGTCCTCTTTATTTCCTCAATGTTTTATAGATTTATTGTAGTTTTTTTTTACTTTGTTCATTACACATTGTATGCCTGTACCAAAACATCACATATACCCAACAAATAGAAATATATATACTATTATGTGCTTATAACAATTAAAAATTATGTATGTATATTGAATCTATTCAAAATCAGAAACTATTTCTTTTTACTGTTTGTAAGGTCTTGTCTCTAGGCTATAAAAAGAATTTGTAAAACTCAACAGAAAGCATAATATAAACAGAATTCTAAAATGAGTGAAAATCTGAACAAACACCTCACCAAGAAAAAATGTTATCTGAAAATAAGAATATATAAAATTGTTCAGTATCAATTGTCATAAACTGATACTCATATTTACCAAATACAAAAGTAAACATGATGTATTTCAACAGAATTGATTCTCAAATATTTGTATACTCATACAGTGGAATACTATCAGTCATAAAAACTATGGGTTATTAATTCAGAAGACAACATTTTAACATTTTTTCTAAGTGAAGGAAGATGGACAAAAGAGACTAAGTATTGTACAATTCCATTCATGAGACCTGCTAAATACAGTAAAATTAAAAGGATTTTAAAAACAGGTTTGTGATAGGCAGGGCTTTTGGGGAAAGACAAGAGACTGACTTGGCAAAGCTCAGGGGATATTTTTAGGGTAAAACAAACTGTGTGCCATTGTGATATGCCTAATTTCTTATTATATTTGTTCAGAGTTAATAGTGTACGTTTCAACCAACTCGGTGATTTTATATTTTCTATTTGCTGATAGAGACATGTTCATTTTTGTCAATCACTTTGCTAAATGTGGCTGAGAGGCTGTTGAAATGAACGCCGAGCAAATGTATTCACCAAATCTACAAGAGCAAATTATTTGCCAATTGCTGATTGAGTGGGGTCTATAATGTATTTGAGATTGGGTGTGGGGATGTTATTGTGTGAGATCATGATGTTTAGACCATGACACTCTCTGGTGAGGGATCACTCATTCATTGCACATTTAATGAAAGGCAGGTAGGAGGAGCAGAAGGGGATGAGTCACACTCCTGACCACAGCCACAGGTTATTGAAGGCAGAACTGATGTAATCCCCTAAGGTAGACCACTGCCCCTCCAAGGTGACCTTATCCTAGAGTTGACACACATCCTGGGACACCAGAGACAACTCCTTCTCTCCCCTTTCTCTGCACTTCAGCTGGAAGCAACTGTCTCACCGAGCACCTTGTGTTAAGGAATGAGAGTTCCTGTTCCAGGTGTGAGGGCCCAGGTGCATCCACTTGATCCAGCACAAGAGCAAGAACAGCCTTCCAGAAAATGACATCGCCTGAGGTATAACCAGCTCTCACCTGCTGCAGCTTCCTCTGAATAAAAAGGAAACTGTTGAAACTTCCTCATAAGTGTCCTGCTGTGCCATTCCCTTTGTCCCCACATGTTCAGTTGTGTCTGTCCAGATGTCACTTTTGTGTAGGGAGATTAGGGTTCTGCTTCCAGTACCAGAACACACATGACCTCTTAGGGGACTTCAGGGTTTTGCTGACATATGTGATGATCTTAAAAGTCATTAGCTCCATTTCTACATCAAAAAACATCTGAACCAGAGGAGCACATAGGCTCAGGCCTGTAATCCCAGCACTTTGGGAAGCCAAGGCAGAGGAATCACTTGAGGTCAGGAATTTGAGACCAGCCTGGTGAACATGGTGAAACCCCGTCTCTACTAAAAAATATATACAAAAATTAGCCAGGCGTGGTGGCACTAGCCTGTAATCCCAGCTACTTGAAAGGCTGAGGCAGGAGAATTGCTTGAACCCAGGAGGTGGAGATTGAAGTGAGCTGAGATCGCACCACTTCACTCCAGCCTGGGCGACAGAGTGAGCCTCCATCTAAAAAAAAAAAAAAATTTATATATATATATATATATATATATAATAAATATATATTATATATTATATATATATTTTATATAATATATATGTATATTTTTATATATTATACATACATATTTATATATTATATATAATATGTATATATAATATATAATATGTATATTTATATATTATATAATATGTATATTTATATATATTATACATATATATTTTTATATATATATATCTCCAAACCATCTAAATATCAAGTATTTTTTAATCCATCTAAGAGCTGAAATTGCTGAAAAAACTACTCCCTCCAAAAGCTGTAGAGACAGGCACATCCACAGTCACAGCAGAGACTTGCTGACTTGGAAGGGAAGCTCCTGGAGACACATTGGTGAGAACATTTACCTGGTGATTATGCTGAATGTCTGGAGGACAAATGTGGACTAGGGGGAGGGTGAGCACTCCTAGAGGCTGTACACCCCACACTTGTGTGGACTTGCCCTCCAGGGCCTTCAGGTTCTCGTGGAAGCAATTAAAATAGATTCCCTATAGCCATGAACTGGGGAGGAGTAATCACGGAGAAAAGATGCACAAAAAGACTTTTCTAGAAAGCTCATCCAAGGGAAGGTATTCTCCAAAATCTTAGTTTATGTGGGGGAAGGAAATACTTCCAAATTACAGACCCCTCCTCCTCAGCCTTCCTCTATCACGCAAATGATAAAATTAGCCAAGAGGAGTCAGATTCAAGGCGGTAGCCCTGGGTGCAGCATCTGCAGAAGGGAGGAAAGAGAGAAAATCAGCTGTATCACTGGAGATTCCTTGTGAAGGTCACTGCTCAGGAGAAGAGGGCAACCAAACCAGGGAGAGTCAACTGTAAGAACATACCATGCTCCCCTGCCCCACACATTACCTCCTCAACAGCATCATTAATATGGATTAAAGAGGGCAGTGTGATTGCTTTAGATCTGTTTGAGAAAGAAAGTCACATACTGAGGCCTAGGGTCAGGGTCGGCGGCACTTCCCGTGAGTAAGATACTACGAAGAAGGAAAAATTAGGGGTCCATAACTGTGAAAATCAGCCACAGTGTGTGTGAGAATGTTTGTGTTTGTGTTTCTGTGTGTTTGAGTAGGAGTTATTGGAACAGCGGACGTGGAGTGAGCTTTAATCCACATCCATCTGCAGCTTCAGGTATTCTCAGATGCAGTATTCATCTGCAAGAGCCGAAATGAGAAAAGAGCCACCTCCAACCCCCCCAGAGTTTTAGCCTCCCTTTGTTTCCAGTGATCCAGTGCATCTAGACCTCCAGGAAGTGGACTCCCTGGTGATTTTAGCGATTCTTCTCTTGGAGCCACCCTGAAGAGGACATTGGGTTTCCAAAGGCCCATTCACTATTTCAAGAGGTGGTGTCATCAGCTCATGTTGTCACTGAAGGAGCATTCTGAGCCAGGTCACAGTCACTTCCTAGTGAGCTACAGAGGCTGAGAGAAAAATGCTCTGTGAGACCCAATGGGAAGCTCCCTGCAGTGCAAGGTCTGGGTGGCAGGGAGCGCTAGGGCCTCGCCCAGCACAGGCTGCAGCCCTGGAGCAGGTGCAAGGGAGGCTGGGGAGGGGTTCCTCCCAGGGTCTGATGTCTTCCTTTTCTCGGACAAACATGCTTTAATAAGTTAAACAAGACTTTAGTAAAGACTATTGATGTGTCTTTGTGTCTTTCAGTATACAGTTCTATTTGTAGGATTTATCTAACCTAACAAGTCAATGAGAATCACATGTAAAAGGAGAAATTTCTAGGATTTTCAGATATCTTAATAGGTAGGAGATGGAGAAAAGGGATGGTTTTATTAATTCAGTGCTTGCCAATCTTAACAGAGACAGTAGTAAGACATGCAGAAAGCAAAGCCCAGAAAAGTATGAAGGTGTCAAAGTGCCATTTAAGTATGGGTTCACTTGGAGGACCATGTTCTGCGGGAACTTGTTTTCAGCAGACAATCTATTTTAGCAGAGTTCTGGGCATACAAGGGGACACACATCATTAAACAAGGATTGGGACAGGGACTTCAGCGTCCCACTGTTGCATGGCCCATAAATTATGTGTGTTCTCTTTCTCATCTTGGATCAAGTCTAGAGCTATGAAATAGTATCCCTCATGAATATGCAAATAACCTGAGATTTACTGAAGTAAATACAGATCTGTCCTGTGCCCTGAGAGCATCACCCAGCAACCACATCTGTCCTCTAGAGAATCCCCTGAGAGCTCCGTTCCTCACCATGGACTGGACCTGGAGGATCCTCTTCTTGGTGGCAGCAGCCACAGGTAAGAGGCTCCCTAGTCCCAGTGATGAGAAAGAGATTGAGTCCAGTCCAGGGAGATCTCATCCACTTCTGTGTTCTCTCCACAGGAGCCCACTCCCAGGTGCAGCTGGTGCAGTCTGGGGCTGAGGTGAAGAAGCCTGGGGCCTCAGTGAAGGTCTCCTGCAAGGCTTCTGGATACACCTTCACCGGCTACTATATGCACTGGGTGCGACAGGCCCCTGGACAAGGGCTTGAGTGGATGGGATGGATCAACCCTAACAGTGGTGGCACAAACTATGCACAGAAGTTTCAGGGCTGGGTCACCATGACCAGGGACACGTCCATCAGCACAGCCTACATGGAGCTGAGCAGGCTGAGATCTGACGACACGGCCGTGTATTACTGTGCGAGAGACACAGTGTGAAAACCCACATCCTGAGGGTGTCAGAAACCCCAGGGAGGAGGCAGCTGTGCTGGGGCTGAGAAATGAAAGGGATTACTATTTTTAATGTTGTTTACAGTATGTCATTAATAAATTGAAAAAAAGTAACAATAGAAGTATATACTCTAATTATATGGGAACTTTGTTTTTTCAGTTTTTTCATTTTTTTTTTTTTTTTTGGTTTGTTTGTGACAGAGTCTCACTCTGCCACCCAGGCTGGAGTGTAACGGCACAATCTCAGCTCACTACAACCTCCACCTCCCAGGTTCAAGCAATTCTCCTGCCTCGGCCTCCAGAGTAGTTGGGATTACAGGCACCCGCCACCATGCCCGGTGAATTTTTGTATTTTTAGTAGAGACGGGGTTTCACCATGTTAGCTAGGCTGGTCTCAAACTGCTGATCTCAGGTGATCTACCCTCCTCAGCCTCCCAAAGTCCTGGGATTACAGGCGTGAGCCACTGCGCCTGGCCCAATTATATGGGAATTGTTTATATAATTATCACCCTATAAGCAAAATTCATGGAGGAGGAAAAGCTCTACTGAAGAAAGCTGATACCGGCATTCCCATGAAAGTATCTGTGTAGAAGTAAGTATTAAAATCAGTTGAATAGGCAAGGCATGGTGGCTCACGCCTATAATCCCAGCACTTTGGGAGACCGAGGCAGGTGGATCACAAGGTAAGGAGTTCAAGATCAGCCTGCCCAAGATGGTGAAACCCCTTCTCTACTAAAAATACAAAGAATTAGCTGGGCGTGGTGGTGGGTGCCTGTAATCGCAGCTATTCGGGAGGCTGAGGCAGAGAATTGCTTGAACCTGGGAGGTGAAGGTTGCAGTGAGCCGAGATCACGCCACTGCACTCCAGCCTGGGCGACAGAGTGAAACTCCATCTCAAAACAAAACAAAACAAAACAAAACAAAAAAACAGTTGAATAAAGTACCTTAGAGTCATCTGTTCAATTAACATGTTTAACTCCAAAGAAATACTGAAAATATTTTCCAAAAAGGAAGTGCCATTTTACGTTCCTACCAACAGTGAATAAGATTTTCTTTTCTGGAGCCTTGTCAGTATTCACTAATGCTTTGCTGTGCAGCCGTTGTAATATTATAGTAAATGAGTAGCAGTATTTAATGGTTGTTTTAAATATACATATTCTTAATACAAAGTCTTGATGAACACTTTTTTATACATTGTTTTATGAGGTGTGTGTTCAGATCTATGTATGCCAGAAATGCCTGGCAGCGTTAATTTAAGCACACTGTAAGAATGACCCTATAGTTTATGAAGAATGTATGTTCAGAGCTCTGAGCTAAGAAATCCAGGAGCTGTCAACCCAGAAGTTTATTCCTTGTCTGTGAAGGACATCTGAATCCCTGGCCTATCCCTTGGAACACAGGATGTCCAGGTGATTGATGCTCTTTGTTAAATCTGGAGGTTGCTAGGTAGAGGGTGCTAAGTGAAAATCATAATATAAACTACATGTGTTTTACAAATGGTAGTGGTTTTCCTGTCCAACACACTTTTCCTGGGCCACATTGTATGCAAGTCCTCAATACACCCTAGGTCTTGTTCATGGGCTCCAGGTCTCCTCTTCAGCCTTTTGGACATGGTGCCACGCCTATTACAGTCAATAGGGGTCTAGCATGACAACTGGTAGGCCCAGAACAAGGTCAAAGAAAATCCTGCAAGCTCTTAGACAACAGCGTCAAGGAAGGGGAGACCTGTGAGGAAATCCCAGGCAGGCCATGCACATCTCTGTGGGCCCAACAGCTGCAATCCTTGATGGATGGGGCCCGCTGCATGTGTACGGGGATGCCTCCAAAATGCCAAAAGTTCTGGAGGACCTGTTGCCTGAGGTGGATGTGACAATGTGACAAAGTGACAGTCAGATTCCTGAGCTGTGGCAGCTGTTGGCCACTCCTGACTGCACTCTGAGCAACCACTGAGGCAGAGCTCATTGCACAGGCTAGGGTGTGTCAGCCACGAGAACAGTTGTAACTATAATGAGATGCCGCCTGTAGGGATAGGATAGCAAATTGGAGACTATTGTTTATTTGGTAGGCCATTTAAAGTGTTGCTGACTGCCACACCAATGCATTAGGACTACTATGACTACGTCATCCTGGGAGCCTAAGTCCTGGCGTCCGATGTAGAGCTCCAGTGGGAAGGAGATGAAGGTTAGGATGAGTCCATAAAGGTTCTTGCTCTGCAGCCCCTGCTTTGCTGTCTCACTTGGTGAACAGAGGATGGGAGGTCAATGCGGACAAAGTCCAGGGTCCAGGCTTATCAGTCAAATACTTGGTGTCATCTGGTTACATAAGACTATAGTTATTCCATATTTCATCATAGATAAGATAAGATGCAGGTCTACTCATGTCCCACCACACCAAAGCAGTTGGAAACCTCCCAAGGCCTCCTGGGACATTGGCGATCCTTTATTCCCCATTTCGGCAAACCCCTTGGGCCCCCATGGCACTTAGACAAGAAGGTGCCCCACTGCGACTGTTCCAAAAGGGAGGATGAGGGCTCTGAAGAAGCTGAAGTCACAGTGAAATGAATACAAACCTTGGGAGTTCTAGTGCAGGGACAGCCCTGTGAATTGGATGTAGTCAGTTACCCTGAGGGGTTTAGGTGGGGACTGTGTTAAAGGCAAGGACATAAGTGTGTGTCCCTAAGACCCTGGTCTCAAAGACAGAAGGAAGCTGAAGTGAGATATACTGTTTAGGAGTAGCAACTGCACTACATGTCATGCCTTACGAGTGTAGGATGTGACAAAGAGGGCCACTCCACATCCGGAACAACCTTTAGCAGGCTGGCTAAAGGATGCCTTCCAGACACAAAAGCCTTGGAATGCCAGGACACAGTCTGTAGCCAAATGGTACTTGTGGTGGTCACCACCAACATAAAAGTGGGCCAACTGTGCCAGCAGAAGTTAGCCCCACAGAACTTTCCCCCACCTAAGAGAAGGCAGTGCACCACAATGCGGAATTCCACCACTGTGGAATTGGGGGAGCTTAGAATTGGATTCAGACACAAGGGGAGAGAGTGGATCACAGGGTGGCTTCTCTATGGGATAGGGGGTGGAGAGTATTATACTCTCTGGACTCAAGATGAGTAAAATGACACCCATCACAAACCATCCAGCCCTATGATGGCACCTTTATGGTAAGTGGTTGCAGGCTCCAAGGGGGCCGGGTCCAATGAGGAAGATGCCCCCACAGCTCGTTCTCAATGGCAGACTATAGAAGAGTTGCAGGATATCTTCTGGGAGTCGAGATGAGGCATGCTAATTATGCTGAGAATTATTGAAGTCCCAACAATGAATTGTTTACTGCAAAATAAAAGCTACAGTTATGTATTCAGTGCCTACCCAATGGCATGGTGCACTGATTTCCATGTTAAGCCCCCTGGGAGGGCAGCCAACATTTCATGTGCCCCAGGTAGTTGCTGACTTAGGAGAAAAGAAGAAACTGAGTAAGCAAGGGATGCACCCTACTGTGATGAAGAACAATGGCACCAAAGGAAGAGAGACAGCCAAGGAGCCAGTCAGGGTGGCCAGACAACGAATGTGCTCTAACTGGCAACACCTACCAGTTCTCTGGGCCCATAGCGGCAATAGGTGGTTATGGAAGGGCCACGGAAGTCAGACCGGTTGAACTAGTGATACGACCTGGGGGACTGCCACCCAGACCCTGTGTAGTATACACAGCTTCCATCCTAGAACACATGAGAATGGATATCTTCTTAGGCGTGACCCTCCAAACAACGGCCAGGGAATTCCAACGGAGAGTTAGAGTGGTGATGTGTGTGACCAAGCAGAAGGCAAACTGGATGCCAGTAGAGCTGCCAACCCATGGGGAGTCCCACAGCTGGAGCAACACCACCTGCCCTGGGAGGGGAAGATGATCCAATCATGAAGATTGTTAAGGAGCTAGCCCAGGTAGGCATTAGGAGGCCACTGCATGGTTCCTACAACAGACCTGCATGGCCCATGCAGAGGCCAGTTGAGACATGGAGAATGACAGTAGATTACTGGGAGTTAAATAAGGTGGTCTCCCGAGTGAATGCAGCTGTTCCTAATATCTCCTCCAGTCTGACGAGAATAGGAGAGGTGTTAGCCACGTAGCATTTCCTTATCAGTTTAGTCAATACCTTCTTCAGCATTTCTGTTGCCCCAGAGTCAAGATCAATTTGCATTAACCTAAAAAGAACAATGGACTTTTACTGTCTTGTTCCAGGGATATTTACACAGCCCAAATCTCACAGCCTAGTGACCTCCAACCTCAGTCGATGGGCTGACCCAAAGGGGATACATGTTTTCCACTACATTGGTGTTATCATGATAACCTCTGAGTCTTTTTTCAGCTTATAAATTACAGCCCCTGTCTTGCTGTCTCACTTGCTGAATAGAGGATGGGAGGTTAATACAGACAAAATCCAGGGTCCAGGCTTATCAGTCAAATAGTTGGTGTCATCTGGTTGGGTAAAACTAAAGTCATTCCATCTGCCATCATAGATAAGGTGCAGGCCTACCCACGTCCCACCACAACAAAGCAGCTGCAAACTCTCAAGGCCTTCTGGAGCATCAGTGTCCTTTTATTCCTTTTATTTGACATCCCTGAAGGAGGCTGCTAGGGGAGACTGTGTCCCTCCTAAATTCATGTGCTGAAGTCCCAACCCTTGGTCCTTCAGAATGAAATCATACTTGGATTAGTGTCCTTTAAAGAGGTGAATAAGTTAAAGTGAGATTCCTGGAGTGGGGCCCTAATGCAATCTGACTGTTGTTATAAGAAGAGGAAGCAGGAGGGAGGGTGCACAGGCCCCGAGGGACGGCCATGTTACCACAGAACAGTGAGAAGGCGCCATCTGCATGCCAGGGAGCGAGACCTCAGAGGAAACCCACCCAGCTGGCAGCTTGATCTTAGGCTTTCATCCTCCATAAGTGTGAGGAAATTGGTTTTGTATTGTAAGCCATCCGATCTGTGGTATTTCGTTATAAAAGCCCTATAAAATGAATACAGTAGGTAATAGGAGAGCTTCTATACATTGAAAAAGTCGGATGGCCAGAAAAACCTAGACACTCCTGTTCAGACCTGAGCAGGGTGATGGACCTGCTTTGGGACAGGAGAGGGGAAGAGATGAACCCAGCACCCAGACCCAGCTGAGCCCATTCCTCAGCAGGCCGTCCCTGGGCCGGAGCTTGCACAGGTGTGAAAGAGCCTGTCTTGGTCTTCAGGGGCTCATGGAGTTGGACGGAGAATGGTGTAGACTCAAGAACACGTCATCGGTGTGCCCGTGTTTATGTGAATGGGATGTGTTTCTAGGGTGTGCTCATCCCCAAAGAAGAATTAATCAGGTCTCTTGGGCTAGAAAGAGGTTGTGGCATTTGTGTGTATTAATAACTGTGGTCGGACAGTAAATTATGTTAAACTGCTTATGGGAAGGCACAATGGAAAGAAACACTTTGTTACAGAAGGAAAAAAAAGGTGATTATTTAAATGAGGTGCCTTTGAAGGTCACCATGCCAAGAGGAGCCCATCACATGATAGTGCTGGCTTTCATGTTCAGGAGATCAGGAGGGTCCGTCCGCTGGCTTTTATGACACCCTAGACAGAGCTGAGAGTGTAATGTATGAATGGAGGGGAAGTGGAGAGAGGGGAGGCCAAATGTTTGGTGGGAATGGAGGGTCACTATTGGAGCCATTAGGAAATACACAAGCATGAATTATGCTGGAGGACAGAACAGTGTTCCTGGGGAATATTGTGTTGCTTTGGGAGCTGCTGAACATACAGGAGTTTCACTGTTCCTAGTTCTCAAATTCTCTAGACTCTCTTGACAACCCAGTTTTAAATATTGGGAATATAGGTAAGACACATTCGTTATTAAAAATTATTAAGAGAAGATGTAGGAAGAAATTTAAAGTAATCCATTTGGTTATGAAAATTTAGTTACAGCGAACTGTGATGTCCGTTTCTTACTTGGAATAATGGAATGTAAGTCATTAGTCATCTCAACGGTTCATTTTTCCATAACCATCAATTACAAAACTGCTGAGTAATTTCCTGAATTGCCCACCATAGAAACTGACCTCACATTTCCTCAATGAGAAACTGCCAGTCCCGTTGATCCAGCCTCGTTCTTCCCATCAGGGATTTTGTATCTCTGTGGACGTGTGGCACAGTGCTGCATATCCATCGGCATATGGCCTCAGGAAAGGCGCCAGCCTATCCATGCATGATGAAGCTTACTTAGGGGATGAAGCCCGCATGCTGGGTGAGCCAGTGCCGACAGCTGAAAGAATCAACTGCCTGGTGTATGATGCTTTTATGAAAACAAGCCCAGGGCCTCTTGCATTCTTCTGTATTAGATTCTCTGGTGAAGATTTTTATTCATTTCTGCCTGAAATTGCCACATATAATTACCTAGAAGCATTACAATAAACTGATTTGGAAGTTAACTGACTTCCTGGTGAGGTTAAAATGAGTGTCAGGTGCATAGTGAGACAGACCGGAGACATGGATGCATAGCAAACTTGTGCTCACCATGGTTTCTATCTTAGTTAGGGAAACTTCTGTACCTTCCTTAGATGTTCAGGCACTCCATTGAGGACCCTGGCATAACATTATTTATTGACAGACCATAGCTCAAAGTATAGAACTGGATACTACCAAGGAGGATATACTATTACTATTTTATCTTTATCTTAAAATATACTCTTCCATCTGAGGTGAAAATTAATCCAGATGGTAGAACTTATTGCAGTTACTACAGCATTTTAGCAAATCAAAAGCCGCAGAACAAACATATGGACAGATGGCAGGTATGTTTTCGGAATCGTAAACAAGTTCGTGATGACTGTAAAACCAAGGGGTGTCTCACGAGGGCTGGAAACCTCTCACAATGAAACAACACAATGAGGATCTTTGAAAAGTACTCTGACCTCCTGGTGAGCTGGCTGATACGGAGGCTGAGCTCCATGTAGAAAGCCAAAGGAATTTCTGCAGGACGTCATCATGCCAAGCACAGCCGTAACCTGGGTCCCAGCCCTTTTCACACGCTCAATGGTTAGATCTTGGGAGGGAATCAAAGAAGCCATAGTAAAATATCAAAATTTAAACCCCGATTTTGAATTTAAAAAGTGTTAAAATATGGTTGTGGCCTACACTCAGAAAATCTGTGTCCTTCAGATGGTTTCTCAGTGGCACCAGATGGTTTCAAGTGGCTATTCATTAAGTTTCTCAGTGAAATTACCAGACATAGAATAAATAAATTGTCACTGTCTTAAATCAACCCATGGGAAAGGAAAACTGTGTAAATACAGCAGAGAGGAAACATTGCTCAAGGGAAAAACAATCTCCAGAAAGTATTGTTAAAGAAACAGAGGCCCTCTTTCCAGCCAGCGCCGAGCGATGGGCACCTCTCGGGACAACTGGCACAAGGGCCGCAAAGCTGGGGGCAAGAGATGGCCCTGCCACAAGAAGCGGAAGTATGAGTTGGGGCGCCCAGCTGCCAACAGCAAGACTGACCCGTGCCGCATCCACACAGTCCGTGTGCGAGGAGGTAACAAGAAATACTGTGCCCCGAGGCTGGACGTGGGGAATTTCTCCTGGGGCTCAGAATGCTGCGCTGGTGAAACAAGGGTCATCGATGTTGTCTACAATGCATCCAATAACGAGCTGGTTCGTACCAAGACCGTGGTGAAGAATTGCATCGTGCTCATCGACAGCACGCCCTACCGACAGTGGTACGAGTCCCACTGTGCACTGCCCCTGGGCCGCAAGAAGGGAGCCAAGCTGACTCCTGAGGAAGAAGAGATTTTAAACAAAAAACGATCTAAAAAAATTCAGAAGAAATATGATGAAAGGAAGAAGAATGCCAAAATGAGCAGTCTCCTGGGGGAGCAGTTCCAGCAGGGCAAGCTTCTTGCGTGCATGGCTTCAAGGCCGGGACAGTGTGGCCGAGCAGATGGCTATGTGCTAGAGGGCAAAGAGTTGGAGTTCTATCTTAGGAAAATCAAGGCCCAGAAAGGCAAATAAATCCTTGTTTTGTCTTCACCCATGTAATAAAGGTGTTTATTGTTTTGTTCCCAAAAAAAAAAAGAAAGAAAAAGAAACAGAGGCATCACACTTACTAGAAAAACATATTCTATTTCATATATTATGGGGATATGACGTGATGTTTTGACGTATGCGGGCATTGTGAAATTATTAAATCAAGTAAATAAACATGTCCATCACCTCACATACTTATTTTTTATGGTGTAAACGTGTAAAATCTACTCTCTTATCAGTTTTCAAGTATATAGTACATTAGTATCATGGAAGTCACCATGCTGTGCAATAGATCTTCAAACGAATTCCTTCTATCTAACCAAAACTCTGTACCCTTTCACCAACGTCTCAGCTTTCACATGCCCCTGACGCCAGCCCCTGGTAGGCACCATTCTACTCTCTACTTCTCTGAGTTCAACATTTTTAGATTGCATGTGTAAGCAAGATCATGGAGTAATTTTTTATACCTGGCTTATTTCACTCAACATAAAGAGTCAAATGCTCAACATCACTAATCATCAGGGAAATGCAAATTAAAACCATGATAAGATATCACCTCACACATGTTACAATGGCTTAGTCTCAGTCTGTCTTTTTGTTACTATAACCGAATACCAGAGACTGGGCAATTTCTAAAGAAAAGGAATTTATGCTTTATGGTGCTTGAGTCAGAGAAGTCTAATATCAAGACACTGGCATCTCACAAGGGACTTCTCACTGCCTCATCTCACAGCAGAGGTGGGTGAGCAAGAGACCATTTGTCCACGAGAGAAAGGAGACCATCTTTTATTAGAAATTCACTCCTATAATAACTAACCCACTCCATTGATAGTGACAGTAATCCATTCATGAGGACAGAGCCTTCATGACTTGATCACATAATAAAGGTCCCACCTCTCAACACTGTTGCATTAAAGATTATTTCCAGATCCTAAACTTTGGGAGACACATTTAAACCATAGCATTCCATTCCTAATATCAAAATTTATGTCCTTATCACAATGCAAATTACATTCATTCCATCCCAATTGTCTCCAAAGTCTTATCCAGCATCAGTGCAAAAGTCTGAAGTCCAAAGTCTCATCTAAATCAGATATGAGTGTGACTCGAGGCACAATTTAGCCTGATATAAATTGTTTCCATCTGCGAGCCTATAAAGTCAAAACAAGTTATCTACTTTCAAATACAGTGAACAATGGGGCAGGTATGGGATAGAAATTCCCATTCCAAAGCTCAGAGAGAGGCAAGGAGAAAGCGGTGCCTAGTTCAAAACCCAACAGGGAAAAAAACATTAAGTCTTATAGCTGGAAAATCATCCTCTTTAACGGCATCTTGTGCACACTGGGGAGGGGGATGGGCCCCCAAGGCCTCCGGCAGTCTTGCCTCTATATATTTTCTGGGTTCAGTCCACTCAGCCGCTCTCACAGGTGGGACTCTCAGGCCTCTAGCTCTCCTAGGCTGACTGGAAACTCTTTGTGGTACCTCCAAACCCACATTTCTGCTTGGCATTGTGCTAAGGGCCCAGTGTGGTGACTCTGTCTCTGCAACAAGTCACTGCCCGAGACCTTAGGCTGTCCTTAGGCTGCCCGAGACCTTAGGCCGTCCACAGCATTCTTTGAAATCTAGGTGGAGAAAGCCATGCCCTCGTGGTTCTTGTATTCTGCACACCTGCAGAATTAACAACACATGGATGCCATGGAAGTTGATGACTTGTACCATTAAAGTGATGGCTTGAGCCACACCTAGGTCCTCCTGAGCCACAGCATGGGCAGCCAAGGAGTGCTGTGCCTGGACACCGGGAACAGAGTCCTAAAGTGCCTGCTAGAAGTGAGGCCATAGATTTCCTTCAAATTTCTCCCACCATATAACCTCGTTCATGGCTCTGAACTTCCACCTTACAGAAGGACCTAGGGATGAACACAATTCAGCCACGTTCTTTGCCACTTTATGGCAAGGATGGCCTTTGCTCCATTTTCCGATGAGCTATTCTTCTTTTTCTCCTGAGACCTCATCAGAACGGCCTTTATTGTCCACATTTCTACTGACATCTAATGGTCATCACCTAAATAATCTCTAAGAAGTTTCAGAATTTCCTCACAGCTCTCTTCTTCTGAGTCCTCAAAAGAATCACCTCTAGTGTTCTATTCAGGGCAATCCAGACTTTTTATAGTCTGATCCTCCAAATTATTCCAGTCTTTGTGCATTACTACATCCACTTCTACATTTTGGGGTATTTGTTATCGCAACAGCCCCACCTCTTGATACTGATTTTTCGTCTTAGTCCACTTTGTGGTGCAATGAGTGAATACCACACACTGGCTAAAGTATAAGGAAAAGGAATTTATTTTCTCGCAGCTCTAGAGGCTGGGAAGTCAATATCAAGGTGTTAGCATCTGGCAAGAGCCTTCTTGCTGTGATGTCCATGTGGAAGGCAGGAGAGCAGGTGCGAAGGATGGAAAGGGGTTTAAACTCATTTTTTAATGAGGAACCCAGGCCTGTAGTAACTAATCTGCTACCACAATGAGTAACCTACTCTGACGATAATGGCATTCATTGCTTCATGAGGGCAGAGCCCTCATGACCTAATCATTTCTTAACATTCCCACCTCTGGACACTATGGAATTTGGGATTAAGTTTCCAATACACATCCTTTCTAAACAGCAGGGGCTTTTTAATAGGTTGACCACCCAAGGCTGCAGGAGGCTCTGAAGCAGTGGCCTGAGGTTGGCTGTCCTTTGTGAGAATGGAGAGAAGTGAACTGACTCATGGAGACACAAGTAGATGAGGTAAAGGCATTCATTGCTTCATTACATGGATGGTGAGGTCGATTGAAGGCATTAACGGATTAAAGATGGTGGCAAAACCGTCTGAGGTGGAGACCACGGGGAGTCCATCAGAAATGGAGGACACGTCCCAATAAATGGTGCTTCATTTCCCTGCAAAGCAGATGAAAGCAAAGAACAAAACACAACATCATAGTGTACACTGAGCAGTGGATTGAGAGAAGAGTTTCCTAAGGCATAACTGACAGAGTGGAGAAGACACACAAATCTTTGCATGATGCTAACATTTGGACTGTGGCTTCATTATTTCTTATTAATATTTTACTGAAATATCGCTAGAAGGAGACTGAAAATGAAGTGTGAAAAGTTAAATGGGATTTCTGCTCTATGTCCTTTTCAGATGAGAGGAACTAGGGAATTCCAGGGAAGAAACAATAATAGCTGCTGAGCAAGGCTTTTGCAGGGCAGGACAAGGAATCCCCAAAGAGAAAACGGAAACCTCAGCTTCACTTTGCATCTGCTCCTGAGCCAGGTCCTGAGCGACCCCTGTAGGTCCTGAGTGCCCCTCCGTAGGTTCTGAGCATCCCTTGGTTGCTGGGCGCCCTCTGGTGGTGTCTGAGCCCCTCTGGTGGTTTCTGAGCCCCCCCGCCTTATGTCTGATCCTCCCTGGTGGTGTCCGAGTGCCCCTGCTAGTGTCTGAGCCCCCTGGTGGTGTCTGAGTCCCCTTCTTAGTGTCTGAGCCACCCTATTAGTGTCTGAGGACCCCTGATGGTGTCTGAGCCCCCAGTTAGTGTCTGAGCCACCCTATTAGTGTCTGAGCCCCCCTGGTGGTGTCTGAGCACAGGAGAGCTCCTCTGAAGGAAGGGTCTACATGGGGACAGGCGTGCTTGTCTCAGGGAAGGGTCCATGTGGGGACAGGTGTGCTTGTCTGAAGGAAGGTTCCACATGGAGACAGGTGTGCTTGTCTCAGGGAAGGGTCCACATGGGGACAGGTGAGCTTGTC